>NC_000004.12:83315320-83466835 GCF_000001405.40 Homo sapiens
TCTAGAGTCCTGTGACCCAGCATTCTACTGGATCTTAGAGCCACAGTTTAAGGCAGTATGGAGGCTTTAGGATCATCAGCCTATGCTTAACCTCCACCCTCATTTTTCTAGGAGGAAACTGAGATTCAAATAAGGTAAGTCTTTGCCCAATATCACGCAGCCGTTTGGTGGCAGTACCATTACTAGAGTCTGTTACAAGGGGTGAGTGACCTGCTTTAGTCACACATTATAGGCTTTTATATTGCAAAATCATGTTGTAGGAAGTGCCCTGGATCAGAAATCATAAGACTTGAGCTCCAGGCACAACTCTCCCACTTATAGACTATAATATGAACAGGGGTAATATCTTTGCCCGACAGGAACCTCAGATATGGATCTAAAGTCCTGGGACAAGCACCATCACATGCCTTCGCCATAAAACCAAGGTTGAAATGACACATGTGAAAACTGTCTGTAAATCACAAAAAACCCTTACAGCTAAATAGCACTTTGTACTAGCCCTGAACAAAGATTATAGCATTTTCAAAAAACCTGGAATGCTTGCACTCATACTTTACCCTTCCTCCATTTCTTCATTCTTCCAAATGCACTTGGAATTTACATAGCTCGAAATTCTATTATACACCCCCTATAACATAATCAACTGTAACATCTCCTGGAATAGAGGCTATTGACGACTGAGTTCAAATCCATTCTTTTTTTCTTTTCTTTTCTCTTTTTTTTTGAGACAGAGTATTGTTCTGTCGCCCAGGCTGGAGTACAATGGCATGATCTTGGCTCACTGCAACCTCCACCTCCCGGGTTCAAGTGATTCTCCTGCCTCCACCTCTGCAGTAGCTGGGACTACAGGTGGACGCCACCAAGCCCGGCTAGTTTTTGTATTTTTAGTAAAGATGGGGTTTCACTGTGTTGGCCAGGCTAGTCTTGAACTCCTGACATCAAGTGATCCACCTGCCTCAGCCTCTCAAAGTGCTGGGATTACAGGCGTGAGCCACCACGTCTGGCCACATCTACTTTAAAAAAAAAAAACAAAAAAAACAGAAGGACCACCTAGCCTACTCCTTACTCAAAATACGAAGAACAATTTAAAACTTACAATTCATTATCTTATTCCCAATCCTTTCCAGACTCTCATCTCTTACTGTATAAAGAGTGGAGAGATCCTTGGAATGAAGATAACCAAGATGACACATTGAAAAAAATGGCAGATCTTTCCCTTGGACTGTACCATGTAAGTCTATGTCAGCATCCAATGTGGGCCTGGGTGTAGGCAACGGAAGAATGGGGTGATGAGGGGAACAGGAGGAGAAGAGGAAGTACAAAGAGTTAGCTCACTCAGGATGACTACTTTAATAAGGGAGTCATCCTTTCTGCAGTCACACCCGGAATTACATCTGTAACACTGCTTCCTTTTCCTGCTCAAACAGGTTTAAAATGTGAGTCTATATTCTCATGACAAATGTTTTTGTCATCTTCTACTTAAGTGGAACGCACCATACAAGAGGACCTGTGTTAGAAAACTTACCTGTATCTTCTGGGACACCCGTTTTTTTGTTGTTGTTGTTTTTTGTTTGTTTGTTTTTTGTTTTTGTTTTTTTGAGACAGAGTCTCACTTTGTCGCCCAGGCTAGCGTGCGGTGGCGCAATCTCGGCTCACCACAACCTCTGCCTCCCAGATTCAAGTAATTCTCCTGCCTGCCTCCTGAGTAGCTGGGACTACAGGCGCCCGCCACCATGCCTGGCTAATTTTTGTATTTTTAGTAGAAATGAGGTTTCACTATGTTGGCCAGGTTGGTCTCGAACTCCTGACCTCAGGTAATCCACCCGCCTCAGCCTCCCAAAGTGCTGGGATTACAGGTGTGAGCCACAGCACCCAGCCTGGGACATGTGTTTTAAGGGTGCAGGCCACTAGCTAAGCAATGAACATGTCCTTATCTCAGCAGCCTTTTGCTACCTCTTCTTTTGTGGTATGTCCCCATGTCACTCAGCCATTACCAGTCTCAGCCACAGGTTCAGAACAATTTGTGGAATCCCCTATTAGCTTCTGAAATATTTGTCACTACAATGAGTAGGTGCCCAAACTAAACACAGAAGATTTCTGTTTCCATGACGTGCCCATGAAAACTGAAAATTTCGAGCCAGAAATCAAATGTTTACAAATGCAAATAAAATTCTGTGTTTGTTGTACCTTTTAGCATTGCCAACAGGGTGGCTGGACTTACACTAACTAACCTGGTTGCATAGTTAGCAAAGGAAGGCATTTCCCCTGGTGTAGGAACTATGAAAGCCAAGTCCTGGAGTTGGAAACCTACCATTTTGGTAACAGAAAGATCCTGTAAAGTAGTAAAACTTTCTTAGAAATGTAAGATACATTGGTATAATGTTTAATGCGACCCCCCAAGACTCACCTATATCTTCCGGGACATGTGTTTTAAGAGCAAATCCATTAATTACCTAATACAACTGGGTCTTCTCCTAGCAGAGCTATAATGATTTATTACAAATGTGGCCTTACTTCTGTGGTTCTCTGGTATGTGTCATTCCTTTAATGGGATCTGAAATGGCCCTGCCTCATGCCAAATTCCAGTCAATAATTAATTACACTTATTAAAGTGTCAGAGTAGATCGCCCTCTTAAAAATGCAAAAAAAAGTTTTTTAGAGGACAACATTAGCTATTAGCATATGCGCTATTTTTTGATTTCTTATGGAACACATTTTTTTCTGTACCATATACATAAAAAATGTACATAAATTTGAAATCCATCTGATACATTGAACTCCAGGTAGTATACAGTAAAATCTTACAAAGATAATTAATTAAAATAATATACTTTAAATAATGTTAACTAACCCAAACAAAGTATAGTAACTTCAAGATCATTTATTTTCAAAAGTCAAAAGAAGAGCTTGAAGTATCTGAGCAGGTTATTTCTTTAACTGAGATATGGGAACATCATCCCTCAGTGGGGTATAAACATCAAACTTCAGATAAAAATATATTTCATAGTTAAAAAAGGATTGTGGCCAGGAGTGGTGGCTCACGCCTGTAATCCCAGAACTTTGGGAGGCTGAGGTGGGTGGATCACCTGAGGTCAGGAGTTCGAGACGAGCCTGGAGCCTGGCCAACATGGTGAAACCCTGTCTCTACTAAAAAATACAAAAAATTAGCCGGTCGTGATGGTAGGCACCTGTAATCTCAGCTACTCAATAATCAATAATATGATCGGGGGTAATACCTTTACCCTACAGGAACTGAATAATCAAATATTCCTCATAATGAATAGGAGGCTAAGGCAGGAGAATCTCTTGAACCTGGGAGGCGGAGGTTGCAGTGAGCCAAGATTGCGCCATTGCACTCCAGGCTGGGCGACAAGAGTGAGATTCCATCTCAAAAAAAAAAAAAAAAAAGGGGGTTCCTTGTTTCACTTGCTTTAAAGCCCCATGTGACAATGTCATCCTAATTTGAAGACTGGAAGACTGTTTTAGTGACTGAAAACATACTAATGGGTAGCTGAGCTAGCCCTGTGTTTGCAAAAGCCACAGAGGAAACAAAAAGAGAATGCTGCTTGGTGGCCAAGACTGTCTGGAGTGACTCAGGGCCCTCCTGCCTAATGCTCTAAACCAAGGCATACTGGGGGTTATTTCTGGGAGGGGGACGGACCTCAAGGTATGAATGATGTTCATGTTTTGCCCTTTATATGTCTGTATTTTAATTTTACATGAGGAATATATTCATGTTTTCCTTGACTCCGTAGTTTTTTAGAGCACTGAAGGTCATTGTTAGATCATGAATGATTGATTTATCTTTCATTCTGTGACTACTAAGCAATGTCAGATGAAGAAAAAACAAACAAAAAAAAAACCAAAAAGCAAGTTTTGAGTTTAGGATTTCCCATTTGGGAAATGCTTCAGTATTTTCAGCTTTATACAACTTCCGTAGGACTTGCTAGATTGGTGCCCGAGTCCAACCTATTCAAATATCTTTGGGGCTGGAACATCTCTAGGGTGCCTTTCATTTCTTACTTGAGTAGGTGCTGTTCTTGAACTTTTTCTGGTAGTGTTCTCGGAGTAGCAATTGCTCCTGGTAGGGCCATTCCAACCGTAACTTCTCCTCCACATCAGGAGGGATGGATCCATATTTGCAAATATCTGCAAGTGGAAGAGATCATTTAGAAGGTCTGTTTTCACAGTGAGCAGACTGAAATCGCATATATTTATTTAGTTAGCTATTTATGTGACTAAAGCAGGATAATTAAGTTCTGGTTATGAGGTAGGAGAGCAGAGAAAAGGTATATTCTGTAACACATGTCAAATTTGCCGGCTCATGAATTACCACAAAGAAAACAACCAAGGGCAGGTTTCCTAAGAAATATTGAACATACACTGAACATGGATATGTTGGACATAGCTACAAGTTATTTAACAATTCAAAGGGCTCCTCAGAAGCTTGAAATTACTGGCCGGGTGCAGTGGCTCACACCTGTAATCCCAGCACTTTGGGAGGCTGAGATGGGCGAATCACTTGAGGTCAGGAGTTCGAGACCAGCCTGGCCAAATGGTGAAACCTCGTCTCTACTAAAATACAGCTACTCAGGAGGCTGAGGCAGGAGAATCACTTCAACCCACGAGGCGGAGGTTGCAGTGAGCCGAGATCACGTCACTGCACTCCAGCCTGGGTGACACTGGGCGACAAAGCGAGACACTGTCTAAAAAAAAAAAAAAAAAAAAAAGCTGGAAATTACCAGAGAACTCTAATGAAGAAAACATAGTGCAGTTCTCTTAAGGTTCACTTTCAAAATCCATAGCAATTTGTTTTACATGGACTGTATCTGCAGTGTGGTGTTTTCCTCTTGCCATCATGGGAGGTAGGATGGGTGGGAACCGTTGACTTTTTTTCGCTTTGAATTTGGTACCATCAGAGCTTCTGGGACCACAACATGTGCACTTGAAAAAATCCACCCTGGTCAGGCACAGTGGCTCACGCTTGTAATTCCAGCTCTTTGGGAGGCCAAGGCAGATGGATAGCTTGAGCTCAGGAGTTTGAGACTAGCCTGGACAACATAGTAAAACCCTGCCTCTACTAAAAATACGAAAACTTAGCTGGGCGTGGTGGTGTGTGCCTGTGGTCCCAGCTACTCGGGAGACCGAGGTGGGAGGATGCCTTGAGCCTGGGAGGCAGAGGCTGCAGTGAGCCAAGATCCCGCCATTGCACTCCAGCCTGGGCGACAGAGCCAGACCCTGTCTCAAAAAAAAAAAAAAGAAAAAAGAAAAATCCACACCATCCTGTCAGGCAGACCATTTCTTTATCACAAGACAGCAGGGTTGCCGGGTGCTGGCTGCCAGGGCCGGCTGACTGGCTGATGACTTCCTTTCTGGAAAGCTGCACACTGACTCGCTGGCGGCTGGTGCCTCATCCATCCCTGGGCTCACAGAGGATGTTTCAGAGGAACTTGCATAACCCCAGTTTCCCCCACCGACCATCCCCCTAGACACAGGATGAAGAAAACTGATGAGCAAAGGACAGTTTCCTGTCTACATTTATGAGATCTTTTGGACACAAATGACTGGTGGGAAAGGGCCAAGTCTAAATAGAAACTAGGTTGGGTGTGGTGGCTATGCCTATAATCCCAATACTTTGGGACGCCAAGGCAGGGGGATCACTTGAGTGCAGGAGTTTGAGATCAGCCTGGATAACATAGAAAGACTGTCTCTACAAAAAATAAAAAAATTAGCTGGGTGTGGTGACATGCACCTGTGGTCCCAGCTACTCAGGAGGCTAAGGTGGGAAGATTGCTTGAGCCCAAGAGGTCAAGGCTGCAGTGGGCCATGCTTGTGCCACTGCACTCCAGCCTGGGCAACAGAGTGGGACTCTGTCTAAAAAAACGCCCCCAAAACAAAAAACAAACCCATAAACAACTCCAACCTGGTATTCAAAGATAACCCATCTGTCTTTTTCTATTTTCTCTGATTACTATTCTGTCAATTTAGCCCCAATTACTGATGAATTGTTCTAAATACTTCATAACTGGATAAAATAAACAGAAGGAAAAGATATAATATATGAAATAATCAAATATTCCTCATAATGAATATATACGTTATATACACATTATTATAATTCAGTGGTGTATACAATATTTTCAGTATTTTTTTCTCTTTAAATTATTAAAAAATAGAGACAACGTCTCTCTATGTTGCCCAGGCTGGTCCCGAACTCCTGGGCTCAAGTGATCCTCCTGCCTCAGCCTCCCAAAGTGTTGGGATTACAGGTGTGAGTCACTGCGCCCATCCTAGTAATTGTTAAGATACGATTTAACTTCCATTTGATGTCTGATAGCACTTCTGAAAGACAGGACAAATTTTCATGGCCCCCTAGGGCAGGTTTCTCAGGTGAAGGCCACAGCCTTTCAATATCAGAATCCCCTGACAAGCTTGCTAAAATCAGAATCTAACGTTGGAGCCCAGAAGTCCACAGATCTCGTTCACCCATATTCTATATTTAGAATAAATATCCTTCAATCTATCATTGTGTCTTTGGCTAGAAATGCTCTTTAGTTTGACGCGATTCTACCCACTTGCTCCCTCCAAGCAGTTCTATCCTTCAGCTACAATCACTGTTTTATTAATATTTACTGTACAATGAGCTCTCAGTTATATCCAGGACGCCTTTTTTTTTTTTTTTTTTTTGTGAGGCCTCACACTGAACATGACAAACATCATGATAAGGAAACCTGCCCACTGCCTCCTCCTCTTGTTCAGATTCCTCCACAGGTCAGATGAGGGGAGAGGAAGTTAATCTCATTAATTGTTAGGTGTGAGAAATAACAGTTTTCTCAAAGCATTCTCATGACGGACTGACGTTAATTAAAATATAGAGTGAATCTTTAAAAATTTTCACCCTGGTTGACTTGAGATTGCCAGTAACTTCTCTCTTCAAAGGTTGATTCCTTCTTGGGATCGAAAATTAGGAAGTCTGTCTTGGTGCCACCAAACCTCAGGTACGCAGGAGACAAGCCTCTGGCCAAGGTACGAAGCTTTGGAGAACTGTTAGGAAGACAAGCAAGAAAGTATAACTATTTTTTCCAAGACAATCTAGTCAAACATTCTTACTTCCTTCTTTCCTGGTGGACCTATTTCTTAACATTTCCCTGTGCAGGACTTAGAGGAGGAAATCACATTGTTTTGTTTTTGAGACAGAATCTTGCTCTGTTTTCCAGGCTGGAGTGCAGTGGCGCGATCTCACTTCACTGCAACTTCTGCTTGCCGGGTTGAAGCAGTTCTGCTTCTGCCTCCTGGGTAGCTGAGATTACAGGCAGTATTGTTTAATTTTTATTTGTTTTCTTATTGGGCATGATAGAAAGGGAATCATTGTTTAAAAGAGGAAGCATCTCAATCTGAATCTAATTGAAGGACTGATCTTCTAGGAACCTGAGGGCAATTTGTAGCTCTAATTCTGGCAAGAGCTTGTTTGTGTGTGTGTGTGTGTGTGTGTGTGTGTGTGTGTGTGTGTGTGTGTGTTTGTGTGTGGAGGGATGGGGTCTTGCTATGTTGCCCAGGCTGGTCTCAAACTTCTGGCTTCAAGTGATGCTTCTGCCACAGCCTCCCAAAATGCTGAGATTACAGGCATGAGCCACTGTACCCAGCCAGGAGCTTATGTTTTAACTTGACAAGTAGGATGGTGTTCAACACTTAAAAAAAACTCATAGCCTTTTATGATGGATGGGGAGAAAGAAATGATAGAATAGAAACTAAGGGAAAGACAGCTCTGTGTCTGTCTGAAAAATAGATCGTCCGAAACTATGGGACAGTAAAAAGATCAGCGGTTACCAGGGGCTGGGGGTGGAAATGCAGAGAGGGAGGGATGAATAGGTGGAGAACAGGGGATTTGCAGGGCACTGAAAATACTCTGTATGTTACTATAATGGTGGATACATGTCATTATACATTTGCTCAAACCCATAGAATGTACACCGACAGTGAACCCTGCCGTGAACTATGGACTTTGGGTGATAATGATGTGTCAGTGTAGGTTCATCAACTAGAACAAACACCTCTCTGGTGGGGATGTTGATAATGAGGGAGGCTATGCATGTGTGTGGGCAGGGGGTTTATGGGAAATCTCTGTCCTTGCATTCAATTTTGCTGTGAACCTAAAACTGCTCTAAAAAATAAAGTCTATTTAAAACACACACACACACACACACACACACAATTTGGTGAATGACTTTTTAAAAAGTCTTCACACACCTGTCTTTCCAGAGAAGTTTATAAATGACTTAGGATCTCTTCTCCTCTTCTTAACTCCTGCCTCCCTTCACCATTCCCCACCAAGGAAAATCATTCTTTTGTATTTAAGTCAAATGACTTAGAATTATATAGTATTCTAATTCCCATCACTGACACCTCTAATTTGAACAATTCTAAATGCATATTCTGTCAAGCCAAAAATGCTCCAAATGGGTGCCTATCATGTGCTTAGAATGGTACCAAATGCTAGAAAATGGAATTAGAATGATCTATAATCCCTTCCCTCAAAAAGATGAGGATGTTCATAAATATTTACATGAGCAAAACTAAGAAAACAGAAGACCTGGGTAAGAGAAACACCTGTCATACATTTCTGAAGTATCAAACATGCAATGCTGGCCACACTGCTTCCTGGAATGCTCTGAAAACATATTAAACCAATGCTAGCAACTCTTGGAATGGCCTAATTAGTTTGTCTACATGTAGGTTTATTTCAAGTCAGGAAATTATTCCTGGAGCACTGATTGCCAATACTTCTTCTTCTTCTTTTTTTTTTTTTTTTTTTTTTTTTGAGACAGGATTTCATTCTCATCATCCAGGCTGGAGTACGATGGCGTGATCTCAGGCCATTGCAGCCTCCACCTCCTGGGCTCTAGCAATTCGCCCACTTCACCCTCCCAAAGTGTTGGGATTATAGGCGTGAACCACCACACCTGGCCAAATTGCCAGTACCTCTTAATATCCTAGGAATTAAAGATCTGATCTAAAATTTAAAGTTTTAAGATGTGCTCATGCTTAATTAAATATGTATAATGCTATGTAAAATTTTCAAAGTATTTCTTTATGCTTAGGAAATAAACTAAAAGATAGAAATTGAACAAAATGTAAGTCTCTTGTGTTAAAACTTCAGTGATTCCTCCTCACCATATTTTTGTTTGTAACTTGGGAGTCCCTAAAAATACGGTGGGCTCTGACACTAGGAACCTCAGAATAAAGTGAGATTTTAAAATGTTATCAACCCGAATTCACCCTGACTGAAATACCTGACAGCCCCAAAGAGCTCTAGGAAGGATGGCATCTGTCATGGCATCCTCAAAACCACGGCTAAATAAATGGAAATGCTAATCTGAACTAAGTAAGGAAGAAGCAGCTATTTTCAGTTTGGTACAAACCCAAATAAAAATAAATTGTAGGGAGGGGAAAACAGAGGATGCACTATTGTTTAATGGGTACAGAGTTTCAGTTTGGGAAGACGAAGAAGTTCTGAGATAGATAGTGGTGATATTTGCACAACAATGTGAGTGTGGTGAATGCACCAAACTGCATACCTTAAAATGGCAAGATTTTATGTTTTGCGCATTTTGCCACAATAAAATAAATAAATAGTACTCATAGTGTAATTTTAACAATAAAAGAATATATATTTATATACAGGAGAGAATTATGCCAGGATGATAGCAATGGTCATTATGTGGTGAGCTAGATGGTAGACTTTTTCATTACTTTCCTGTATTTTACAAGTGTTCCATAACAAGCACGTTATATTTTAAATTATACAACTTGGTGTGTGTGTGTGTGTGTGTGTGTGTGTGTGTGTGTGTGTGTGTGTGTGTGTGTTTTGAGACAGGGTCTCTGTCATCCAGGCTGGAGTACAGTGGCATGATCTCGGCTCACTGCCACCTCTGCCTCCTGGGTTCAAGCGATTCTCTTGCCTCAGCCTCCCTAGTAGCTGGGACTATACGCACCCACCACCATGCCCAGCTAATTTTTGTATTTTTATTAGAGATGGGGTTTCACCATGTTGGCCAGGCTGGTCTTGAACTCCTGACCTCAGGTGATCCGCCCACCTCAGCCTGCCAAAGTGCTGGGATTACAGGCATGGGCCACCACACCTGGCCTGTGCGTCTGTTTTAATAGGTGAAAAAAGCAAGATTTACTTAAGGAGATAAAGCCATCTGTTAATTTATTCAACAAATATTTGTTGCAGGCTGACTCTGCCAGGCATTATGCTAGTTGCTGGAGATGAATGGTGAACCAGGCAGAGATAGTGGCTGTTCTCATACAATTTGTAGTTTAGTGATAGATACGAACAAGTAAATAGGCAATTCTTTAAAAATGCTATGGAAACATTCAGAGGGACTCCTAATCTAGACCTTGGGCTGAGGGTAGGGGGTTGGATAGAGAAGGTTTTTCAGGGGAAATGGTTTCACTGCTAGACATTCAAAAAGAATAAACCTTATCTAGATTAAAGAGAGTGGGGTAGGATTGAAGAAAGCATTCCAGGTGAAGGGAAAAGTCTGTCCAAAGACCAGAGATAGAAGAGAAGCTGGCACCATTGACGAGCAGAAGGGTGTGGTTGGTGCCTAGAGATGGGGGCAGAGAGGCTGGGAGAGAACAGAATGGAGAAGCAAATAGGGCCACATCACGGAGGGCCCCGTAAGCCACATGTCCAGGAGTGCCAACTTTATATGAGGGCAACGGTGAGCCATGGAAGGATCTGAAGCAGCTGGAGTGACCTCACCAGACTAAGAACAAGACTCTGGTCATGTTAACGTAGACAAAACGTGATGGACTGAGGTAAGGTAACAGCTCAGAGATGGAGAGAGATGGATAAATTCAAGACACACTTAGAGGTAGAAATAATAGATTTGAGTTTTTAAAATAACTTTTTTTAAATGAGACAGGTTTCACCTTGTTGGCCAGGCTGGTCTTGAACTCCTGGCCTCAAATGATCCACCTGCCTCAGCCTCCCAAAGTGCTGGGATTATAGGCATGAGCTATTGTACCTGGCCTAGATTTGATTATTAATTGGATGTTGAGGAGGAGTCAAGGATTACTCCTGGGAAGCTCCTTGGAAGATGGTAATATCATTTGCTGGATGAGGAACAGGTGATAGACTGAAGATGGGGAGGAACAGGGAGGAGAAGGGGCACTAAGTTTTGTAGAATTTGAGATACCAATGGAACACCAAAAAACATACTTCCATCCATCAGGCGCTTCGCCCTGTGTGTCTGGAACTCAGGAGACACATACAGGCCGGGAATATAGACAGGCGAGTCCTCAGTAGAAATGTCAGGGACTGGCAACCCCTAGCTCACAGGTCACAAGGTATGGCCCTAAAACCAAGATGAGGAACTTCCTCAGAGAGAACCACTCCAGGCTGGCCCTGTTCCACTGCCTTCAGCCAGGCACTGATTCTGTTCCTTGGCATTTTGATTGGGTTTGATGATAGAGGAACCTCATTTAGATTCCTCTAGCTGTATTTGTAAGCAGTCGCGGCTGGGCAAGAGACTGGGAAGTGGGAGGAAACGAGCACCTGGAAAAGTTGCTGTGGCATCACATGACGGGCATCTGTGAGTGACCTGGGTCACAGCCTGGTCCTTAGAGGTACAAACTGTACCACCTTGGGTCACTCTCCATCACACTGCGCTGCCTTCATTTTCTTCATAGCATTCATCACTCTCTGAAATCAACTTCCTTTTTCATTTCCTTGGCTTACTCTCTATTGCAGCCCCCATCTCTGCTGCAAGCTCCCTGAGAGCAGGGACCTGACTGACTTATCAGAATCTACCCGATACCTAGATAAGTACTTGGCACACCGCTGGTGTTTAATAAATACTTAAGTGAATGAATGAGCAAGGCCCGCCTGATGTAAGGGTAAGTCGCTGCCAGACAAAGACTTTCCTGAACAAAATGAAAACCCAATACTGTTTGGGTTTACCACTTGGACACTGCCAAGTACAAGAAATCACATTTCAAAGTTTTGGTATTAAGGACCTTTTTGTTTGTCTCCTTTGCAATGAAATATTTTCTTGTTTTGAGAAAATAATATTGACGCCCTCTGACAAAAACTAGATTTAATATGGGTGCAAAACATGCCATAAAACTAAAACTGATCAAAGGTACAGTATTTCAACCATATACAAGAAAAATAAAGGAAAAATAATCCCACCACCACAGTGACATGGAAATAACAGATGAATGCATAAAAGAAGCTTCAGCTATTCTATTTCTAGAGCAGTTTGTTAAGGAAAAAAAGGGGGCCTGCAGGTGTTTTTATTTTACCTTTTGTACAAAAATAAGTTACTTCTCTCTGACACAAAAGCAGAGGTGTGCTGGAGTTGGCTGTACCACGTTGTTGGCCTGTGAAAGCCAAATGTTAAATTTGGAGAAAATTTGTGAGCCAGTTGTTAAACTGTTGGCAGTTTGGAATTGGCCATGGAGGGAGTATTTACACCACAGAAATCAGCAAAAACCATCAACCAGTCTCCCCTCTTCCCAGAGAGCCAGTTGTTAAACAGTTTCCAGCACAGTACTGCATGAGCAGTAATTTAAGTAATTTCTGGAAGTGGGTGAGACCACCCAGGGGAATATGTGAAGTGAAAAGAAGGCCTAGGTCAGAAGTCTGAAGAACACCAATGTTTAAGACAAACTAGAGAGAGAGAGATGGAGAGGAATTGTTAGAAAACACCCCCCAACAAGAAAGGCGACAGACCTAAAGGGGTAAGAAAGTGCTTCCATTGTCAACCTTGCCAAATGCCTCCAAGAGACTGTATTAGTTTGTTAGGGCTGCAGTCGCAGAGTACTGCAAACTAATTGGTTTGAACAACAGAAATGTATTGTCTTACAGTTTTGAAAAGCCGAAACGTTGAATTCAAGGTAGTGGCAGGGCCATACTCCCTCTCTAGGCGCAGGAAAGGATTTGTTCCAGGTCTTTCTCCTAAGTTCCCATAGCTTTTTGACTCCAACTCCATAACTCCTGTCATCACATGGTATTCTCCCTATGTGCGTGTCTGTCTCCAAATTTCTCCTTGTTATAAGGACATCAGTCATATTAGATAAGCAGCCCATCACATTCCAGTATGACCTCATCCTAACTAATAACGTCTGCAATGACCCTATTCCCAAATAAAGTCACATTCTGAGGTACTGGGGGTTAGGACTTCTAATATGGATTTCGGGGTAACCTCATTCAACCCATAACAAAGACCAAATAAGATAAAGTGTTTATTAGGTTTCCCAACAAAGGAAGGCCATTGATGATGTCGGAGAGATTGATTTTAGTGACACAATGATGGTGCCATCATGAGGGCAGAACAGGAAGAACAGGCTGCCGAGGGGAGGGAAGAAACGGGGTGGTTTCTGCAGAGGCATGTGCGAGGAGGTAATTGAGATGGGAAAGGCTTGGGGAAAGGCTTGGGGAAAGGCTTGAGGAAGAAGCCAGTAAAATGGGAGGAGTTGAAGATACAGGAGAGGGAAGAGGTGACTGATAGAGCGAAGTCCTTGGGGGTTGGGGAGGGGACGGGATTCAGGGCAGAAATGGAAGAAGCAGACTGAGATCAGAGAAAGGAGGAAAGCTGGACTTAGGCATGACATGTCTGCAGATTTGATGACAGGAGGAAAAGGAAAAGGAAGTAATTGCTCATTTTCTTTGGGAAGCAGAAGTATGGTCATGTGCTAAGAATGATAAGGTGAAGGTGGAGTCAGAGATTTTTAAAAAGTAGAGAATGTGAAAGGCAGAGAAATGGAGAGTTAAGGGTAACACTAAGGGCCAGGGAAGTCTGGAAGCTAAAAAATGTTTGGTGCAACATCAGTCTGTGTGGCTGGGAGACTGTCCACTCCCTCCTCCCGCAAGAGCTCAATAGCCCAGCTATACAGGGTGGCCACTGAGACTGGAAATGAAGCATTAAAATGGCTTATTAATATACATTAAAATTAATAAGTAATATTTTTCCATTTCCAGGTTTTTGGGCCACCCTGTAGATTCCAAAGAGAGAAAATATGGTTGGACTAAACCAGGTTTAGTATTTTAGCAGGAAGAACAATGGAACAGGGATTTGGGGTTATTATTACAAGAGTGGTTCACATGATAAATTAAGAAGCTCAAATCAGATATGGAAGAAGTAGAGAGAGGAAGAAGCTGTTCAGTGGAGGTATTTAAAAATTGTTATGATGGGTGCTATGGAGTAGAAGAGCTATGGTCTGGCTCTCAGAAAAAAAGGTGCTCTGCTTTTTAGTATTTGCCAATTTCCATGGTAAATATTCTCACCATGGCTGATTTCCAGATACCCACAGGATGTCACTGAATACAGAGTTGAGATGAAATGCATACATTTCATGAGCTGGATAAGCTGGTTCTGTTACAACTTGAGTGTAACATTATCTGTTATAAAAAAATGTGAGTGAAGAAACTGAGACAGTTTATCTAGGTGACTTGAAGTCATCTAGGATGATGGTGAGACTAGGAAGTGGAGAGGAAACTGTGAGATCAGTGCCAGTCTTCAGTTAATAAGGGGGAGTAAGTAAGAGGGGGACAGAGTGCCGTAAGCAGGAGCACTGGATGAGAGCCAGATGTGGAGATGAGGAAAACACACTGAGTCATGGCATCACCCGTAATGCACATCAGGCTAGTCTACACTGAGCGTGTAGGGAAGCTACCCGCCTTCTTTCACTCAATTTCAAAATAACCCACTGAAGCAAATGGCATTATTATCGTCATTTTACAAACAAGGAACCTGAACAAAAGGAGGTAATTTGCCCAAGGTAACAAGTCAAAAGGGACTTGAACTATAGCAGTATGGAGTTCAAACTAGTGGGCTGTCATCCAGAAGCCAGACTGGAGAACAGGAAAAGAACTGGACTATGGGAGAATATGCAGCCATTACTCAAAAGGGCTACAGGGAAGACAGTGTCATCAGAGAATAGCCAAGTTGTAGCTTGGACAAGGAGGTAGAGGAGATATTCTGTGAGGAGGACAGAGCAGGTAACCCTGCAAAGGGCTCCAGGGCACAGTGGACAGGGTTAGTGGGGAAGGCAATAATAAGAGCTCAATCAGAGGGACAGCACTTCCCAGGAGTTAGGAGACATGAGGTGTGTGATTGTCCCCAGCCCTTTGTTTCCCTTTGGCTGTGAATATTTCTGCCATCAATAGGCACATGGGGAGTCTGCACCTCTTTCCAACACTGGTTATCAAAACGTGTGTTTAACATTGATAAGTAATTTTCTAAATGTGAAAAGCAACTCTGTCTATGAAGATGCAAGAATCTAATATTGAAAGTTTTTATCAGTAAATATTTATTGAATTGGCAAAAATGGATGAACTTTGCTGAAGGAAAATAAGCAAATTGCAATGAAAAGCAAGCATGGTTGCATTATCACTGAGATTGCTGTTCGTACCACTTTTGCTCTGCAGTATTTAGGATTTCTACCACCGACTCAGCACTATACTTTTTTTTACCGTGCATTAGTGAACTATGCTTGTATACGTGTCTTAATTGAAATGCAGATCTGTACTGTCCACTACCATAGCACTAGCTACATGTGGCTACTGAACGCTTGAAATATAGTTAATCTGAGGCCGGGTGCAGTGGCTCACGCCTGTAATCCCAACACTTTGGGAGGCCGAGGTGGGCATATCACCTGAGCTCAGGAGTTTGAGATTAGCCTGGCCAACATGGTGAAACCCTGTCTCTACTAAAAATACACAATTAGCCAGGCGTGGTGGTGCATGCCTCTAGTCCCAGCTACTTGGGAGACTGAGGCAGGAGAATAACTTGAACCCGGGAGGCGGAGGTTGCAGTGAGCCGAGGTAACGCCATTGTACTCTAGCTTGGGTGACAAGAGCAAAATTGTCTCGGAAAAAAAAAAGAAAGAAAGAAATATAGTCTGAGAAGTGCTGTAAATAATACACGCCAGATTATAGAATAGACTTGGTTTGAGAAAAGGAATAATAAATACCTCATTAATATTTTTATATTGATTACATGCTGAGAAAACATTTTGGATCTATTGAACTAAATAAAATTATTAAAATTAATTTCACTTGTTTCTTTTTACCTTTTTAATATGGCTACTAGAAAATTTAAAATTACATATGACCTTGCATATGAGGCCCACATTATATTATATTTCCATTGGACAGTGTTGATTTAGGGCTGGGCTCTCTTTGGAGTTCTGCACACAGTTAGGCTTAGGAAGTATTTTGATTGGTTTCTTGATTAAGTCCCTCTGGGAAGACGACAAATTGAAAGATTTTTTCTTTCAAATTTTAGATTGCTCTATCATTGGTATTTAAGTTTTGTGTGGAGTTGGGCTGTACACAATGTATTTGCCATCATGGAGACTAGAACCACGCCAGTGACTAAGTTTGCTTAGGCCTCTTTGAAGTACCTTAGATGAAGGTTTGGGCCCTGATACTGTTACTCTCATGTGAATGCTTCTTTTCATTATATCAATCTCTCAATTCCTTTCCAAACAATCTTTTTCTACCATATCCTACTCTCTTTCCTTTAAAAAATATAATCTGCTTTCCCTTTTTATGGGCACTATTATCTCATGTGATCAGAGTCTAGTTTCAAACTGTGGCCAAGTTACTTAACCTCCCTGAGCCTCACTTTCTTCATTTTTAAAATGGGGGTGACAAAACTAGTCACTCACAGTGTTGTAGCCAAGACTAAATGGATTAATACCTAGAAGGTGCTTAGAACAGGGCCAGGCAAATGACAAGAACTGAGGAAGTGTCAGCTGTTTGTGTCCTCCTCTCTTTCCTTATTCCTTCAGCTTTCGTCTGCTCAGCTCTTGCCATCCCGCCCACACATCTTCACTTTTGAGGAACTGTAATAAATTAAACAACAGGCGTCTTACTCTCCTCTACTGTGGACCCCTACAAAGCTTAGTGTTGTCTTCTGAGATGGCTGGGCTGTTTGGGCCCTGTGCCCCTCCTGGGGAGATGGACCCTCACACTCTAATTTAGAAGCTAGGTCTTAGATGAGGAGAGGGGGTTCCTCCCTCTTTTAGGTCTTAGCAGATAACACTCTGGGTGTGCTTGTCGATGCGTCTGGGGAGCAGGTATGGCAGATGGCCTCTCCAAGCGAAGCGGGCTGGAACAGACAGCAGCCAGCCTTGGAGAGAAGCACGTATGGACAAGAATGAACTGTTTTGTAAACCAGAAAAAAAGTTTTATGTATCACATGTTATGCTCTCTTGGTATTTCATTATACTCCAGTCTTTAACAAAAAGGTGCAGAGGAGGGGAAAAAAGGGTGCTCTGGGAAATGAAGAGATGTATTTAAGAAGAATAAAGGTATCATCCTCACTAAATTGCAGATTGGAATTTCTACGTGTTAGGGGGGTGTTAGTCAATTGCGGGGAGCTTGACTGCTGGGTGATCAGGCCCAGATCCTGGAAGTCCCACTGTATGTTTTTTCTTTTGGACCTGTTACTCCAGGGGGGAACCCCCATCTGTCCTTTCTTGGGGAGAGGTTGGGGAATATGCTGGCTACAGCAATAGAAGAGGCCTCAGGTCCTCACATTTCAGTAAATGGACATCTACTTCATACCCATGTTCAGTAACCGCCCCCCCCCACCCCACACCCCAGCAAGCTAAGACTGGGGTCCTGTGATCTGGAGCCCTATGGTTCAGCATTTCTCTGGAACAATCTTCCTATCCCCCAACTAGTTGCTGCCTAGTATCAGCTTCCTATCCTTAAGGGGAAGGGCAGAAAGTAAGGATTCTTCCCCACCAGAAAATTGTAGTGCCAGAAGGAAAAGGAGAGGTTAACTATGATCCAAAGAAACAGAAAACCGGTGAATGGCTACCAAATGCTCACCATGTCCTAGAAAGAAACAATTCGTTTGAAACGTCAAACACTTACTATGGGTCAAACACTGAGAAGCTCTTACCATATCATCAAATCCTCGGGCAATAATCCTTGAGGCAAGCTTGAGAAATTCCATTCTACAGCTGAAGAAATCAAGGTTGGTGTGGCCAAGAGATATGGAAAAACCAAGTCACTCATCTTTGCCAGAGCTGAGAGTCAAGCCAGGATGGTCTGTCCATCTCTTAACCAGTACACTACCCATTAAATTAGCGCTGGCAACTATAGTGTGGGCTCAGGGAGGACAGCATCTAGGTATTTGACACAGAGGTGAGATAATGGTGATCTTTCCCTCTATCTGGGCTGGTCAAGATGTGGCCATCTCTGGAGGCTCCCAGGGCCTAAATAAGAGGCCTAGAAGACCTGGGATTGTCCCTGTAGCTCCCCATCTTGGAGTCAGCCTGCATTCATGGGGCAGGAGCCCTGAACCTGCATCAGGTTCCTTCTTTCTCAGGTAAGGAAAAAACTTAGAGCTGATAAGGCAGCACCACATTTTGCAGCCCCATTTTGGAGAGACATCTTTTTATTAGGACTTTGTAAGTCACTGCAGTAGTCTCCTAGGTCTCATTTATTGAATATTTAGATTTTTATTCCTGTTCTGTGACGCCCTTTTCATCTGCCTAAAAAAAAAAAAAGAAAAGAAAAAAGAAAAAGAAAAGAAAAGAAAGAGAAATCTTCCTAACACAGTCTTAAATACAGAAGGCTATGCACAATCTTACTTGTCCTACACTGCACAGCAAATCAAGCACTCACAGGCCTTCAGGTGCACCTGCCTGGTTTCCCTCCTCTTGGCTAGGGAAGTACTGGGGCAAGTGGGCAGTTTCTTTTTCAAATTTCCACTTATACCTGACCTTAGGTGGTGCCTATTCAACACTTACAGAATGAATGAAACAAAAAGGCTCATTTAGAGTGGGCGCTAAACAATGTGTACACATGGACTTAGTGGAATAGTAGACACTGGAGACTCCAAAAGGTGGGAGGGTGGGAGAGGGATGAGGGATGAGAAATTACCTATTAGATACAATGTACAACATTCGGGTGACAGTTACACTAAGAGCCCAGATGCCACCACAATGCAATATACCCATGGAACAGAACTGCACTTGTAACCCCTAAATCTATTTTTTAAATGATACCCCCCAAAAAGCAGTTTGGGGTCTGAGAGTAAGGGAGGGAGAGGGAGAATGAGAGGCGGGAAGTGGGGTGGGGAGAGACAGGCGGGGAGGTTCCGGTGTGAAGTTGTTTCCGCGCAAAAGAAGGAGAGCGGCTGGCGGGGCAGACATAGGTGTCAGGAGGACAGGAAAGGGGACAGGACCAGGAGGCTGGCGCTTACCCCAGGAGGATGAGGAACCGCGGGTCCGTGGCCAGGTTGGCGTCAATGGTGACGGACAGGAACGAGGGGCTCACCAGGTGCAGCGGCTCCTGGGTGAAGAAGTCCAGGTCCACGACGTCCTGTGCTTGCGCAGGTCGGGGCAGGGCGCCAGGGGAGAGGGGACCCAGCGGCCCCAGGAGCAGCAGCATCAGCGGCGGCGGCAGCGCAGGCTTCGAGCGCAGCAGCATCTTGGGCTCACCTGGCTGCTCCCCCCGCCAGCTGCCGCGCAGCGGAGAGTCGAGAGCTCTAGCACTTCCTCCCGCCGAGCCCCAGCGCCCTTTTCTCCTTTCCTCCGCCCCGTTACGCCTCCTCACCCCTCCCACTGCGCCCTCCATCCCTCCCACTCCTCTTCTGCATCCCTCCCACTGCTCCCAATCCAACCCCGCCCCGCCTGCCCGGCTCTCTCCTACTTCCTTGCTCGCTTTCCCCTCGGTGGCGGTCACGTTCACTTACGAAATCACCCACACCCACTTGAAGGGTGCGGAGATGGCCGGGATCCAAGCGCCCGGGAGGCCTGGGGAGGAGCGCCCGGGGAGGAGCGCCCGGGGAGCAGCGCTGGGCATCCCGGACCAGGCTTCCTGACGCACGTGTTCTGCGCGCTCTCGTGGGAACCCAGCGTTTCCGACTCCCAGATCCCATTCTGATGGCGCCGGGTATCCCTCTGACCCTCGAGTAAAACCTCCAATGGAGTATTCATCCCTTCCTCTCCCATCTAGCTTATAAACACTTGCTTGTCACTTGAGCCAGCCAAAATCTGATTGTCCTCTGGCCAGGCAGTTTCTCAGGTATTTTACTTTTGCTTGAAAAAATCTGGCCTCAGCATACGCTAAACTGCAGCTGGAAAGAGATCAACCACCCAAAATTCTTTATCAACTTCTCATTAAGACAATATTTAGCAATCTTAAAGGGTTAGTTGCTCCAATGTCTGGAACTCAGGACCTGAAGCCCCCATACAAAGTGTAGAGTACGGACTGCCCCTGAATTTGGAGCCTTTGCCAAATTTCTCCTCTGCGCATTTATCTTTCGCTGTTGGTCAGACTTTTCTTCAGCTTTTCCTTGATGCTTACACTGATGTATAATCATAGCAAGCATCGCACGCTTAGTGCCTACTGTATGCCTGATACAGGTGCTTTACTTGTGTTCTCTTCCCTTCTCACAACCCTGCCAAGTGCATACTGTCCTTGTTTTACACATGCGGACCCAAGCTCTGAGACAGTAACTGGGTGAAGTGTCAGAATCGGGATGTGAAGTGTCAGAATCGGGATGTGAATGCAGTTACAAAACCTCGAGCAGATGGCAGTGTGTTTCAGCTGAAATGTAACTTCCCTCAAGGAAGCTTTCTCTCAATCTCCAGGCAGCTCTCCATGACACACTCTCATAGCATCCTCAATTTGTTAGACACTCTCGTAGCATCCTCAATTTGTTAGACACTCTCGTAGCATCCTCAATTTGTTAGTATTGTGATGTTGCTCAACATTGGCTTCATCTACTAGATTATATGCTCCACCAAAACAGAGATTAAGTTTGTCTCACACGCTATGCTAGCCATAGCTCAGGCATGTGATCATGTTGGTGCTTAGTAAGAGTCTAATAAATATTGGTTGAGTAAGCAAATAACACCAAAACCCTTAGATTTTTCCACTTGAGATTGTACCACCAATAAGGCAACAAATAAAAATAGATTATTTTGAAATGCATATCTAATTTGCATAAATCAGGCCAGGCATGGTATGTGATGCCAGTGATGCCATCATGCCTGTGATGCCAGCATTTTGGGAGGCCAAGGTGGGAGGATTGCTTGAGCCGAGGAATTCAAGAACAGCCTGGGCAACATGATGAAACCCCATCTCTACAAAAAATACAAAAAATTAGCCAGGCGTGGTGGCCCGTGCCTGTGGTTCCAGCTACTGGGGAGGCTGAGGTGGGAGGTTTATTTGAGCCTGGGAGGTGGAGGTTGCAGTGACCCTTAATCACACCACTGCACTCCAGCCTGGGTGACAAAGTGAGACCCTCTCTTAAAATAATAATAATAATTATCATTATTTGCATAGATCTACCTATTCTTAAGCAACTTAAAAGCTAAGCTCATAGTGAGTTTTGCAACTAGAATCAGGTTCATATCCTACAATTACTGTATACATATGAAAAAAAATTCACACATAAACACCACACTACCAGAAGAGTGTAATAATATGGTAGCAGACGTGGAGTTGGAAAAACAGAAGTTTCTTTTCCACATTTGTCATGACATTAATCTTACACCCCACCCCATGCCCCTGACTCCTGTTGTGAGTCAACAGTCATACCAATTTCTTTCTTTTTTTTTTTTTTTGAGACGGAGTCTCGCTCTGTCGCCCAGGCTGGAGTGCAGTGGCACCATCTCGGCTCACTGCAAGCTCTGCCTCCTGGATTCACGCCATTCTCCTGCCTCAGCCTCCCGAGTAGCTGGGACTACAGGGGCCTGCCATCACCCCCGGCTAATTGTTTTGTATTTTTAGTAGAGATGGGATTTCACCATGTCTGTCAGGATGGTCTCAATCTCCTGACCTCGTGATCTGCCCGTCTCAGCCTCACAAAATGCTAGGATTGCAGGCATGAGCCACTGTGCCATGCCCAGTCATACCAATTTCTTTAACATGTTTGGGTGATTTGAAAAGTGGACCATTGCAAGTTTTCTAAATAGTGCATCCTTGTGGTCTACATGTGAGTTACTAATATGGAAACGGGGGGCCGGGTGTGATGGCTCACACCTGTAATCCCAGCACTTTGGGAGGCCAAGGCGGGTGGATCACTAGAGCCCAAGAGTTCAAGACCAGCCTGGGCAACATGGTGTAGCCAGGAGTGGTGGCGCAGACCTATAATCCAAGCTACTCAGGAGGCTGATGCATAAGAATTGCATGGGAGGCAGAGATTGCAGTGAGCCAAGATCATGCCGCTGCACAATGGGAGACAGAGCAAGACCCTGTCAAAAAAAAAAGAAAAAAAAGAAAAAGAAAAGAAACTGGGAAAACAAAAACGAGGGGGCAGAGAAGCAATTTGCACACATGATGATCTGTTGGCTGAGATCTTGCTCCTGCTTCTAATTTGGTTTGATTTACAATGTCTGATAAGGATGTATGATATGGATACATAGGAAGGAGGAACATATAGGAATATTAATAGGAACTATCATTTCAGAGATATTTTATAATAAGACACCTTAATTTTTATAGCAAGTTACAGCTACATACATCCTAGCTAGAGCCCTTTTTCATACATCTTAGCCCTGCAGCTTGATGGGATGTACAATCTTGGGCCAGATCGTCAATTTCCAAGAGCCTCAATTTCTTCATCTATATAGTAGGGGTAATAATACATATTTCATAAGATTTTTTTTTTTTGAAACAGGGTCTCACTCTGTCACCCAGGTTGGAATACAGTGATGTGATCTTGGCTCACTGAAACCTCCACCTCCACACTCAAGCAATCCTCCCACCTCAGCCTCCCAAGTAGCTGGGACCACAGGTGTGCCCCACCATGCCCTGTTAATTTTTTGCATTTTTGGTAGAGATGGGGTTCCTCCATGTTGCCCAGGCTGGTCTCAAATTGCTGAGCTCAGAGATCCACCCACTTATGCTTCCCAAAGTGCTGGGATTATAGGCATGAGCCACCATGCCTGGCCCATAGTCTTTTTTTAAAGAATTAATTGACAATAATGTAACACAGCTAGCTCCATCTACAATGTGAGGTATGTGTTTAACAGATGAGAGATTATTTTTTAAAAAATTATTACCCCCACTTAATCTTTGCAATAACCTTGTAAAGTAGATTTACAGCTTTCTGATTCCAAGCCCAGAGTTTTTCCACTACCTCACGCAGATTTAGGGACTCACAAATTATGTGATGAAAATGATTTAGAAATAAAAAACTTTAAATGAACTAGAAAGTTTATGTGAACGCTTTATTAATTATGGGGCTGGGTGCAGTGGCTCACACCTGTAATCCCAGTGCTTTGGGAGGCTGAGGAGGGAGAATCGCTTGGGCCCAGGAGTTTGAAACCAGCCAGGGCAACATAGCAAGATCCCATCTCTAAAAAAAAAAAAAATGTTTTTTAATTAGCTGGATGTGGTGGCATGCACTTGTAGTACCAGCTACTTCACAGGCTAAGGTGGGAAGCTTGCTTGAGCCCAGGAGATAGAGACTGCAGTGAGCCATGATCATGCCACTGCACTCCAGCCTGGACAACAATGTGAGACTCTGTCTCAAAAAATATTAATAAATAAAAAATAAATGCATAAAAATACAAAAAATAATTATCATGTGATCTCATTTCCATGTGGTCTGTGGATTGATTTTCAGTACTGGCATTGGGTTTTTAGGGATTCACACAAGGTTTACCTGGTCAACAATTACAAACACTTGTAAAACAACAGACTGATTTCAGGATATTTTCAGAAAATGATAATCTTATCACTTGTCTGTTTAGAAAATTAAGACTTTTCTAATGTAGAAATCTCTGAATGTGGGCAAACTTTTAGGCATTTGTAGTTATCTCCGGGCAAATAAATAGTTACAAATGTGTTGTTTTGAGTTATTGGGTTATGACTTTCTAAAGTTAAGTTTTGCTTTTAATTATTTGCCAATCAAACTGTATTTCAAAGCAAGGAGAAATTAAGAGAAAATTTTTGCTGAATGGTGAAAGGAAGGAAGTTAACATCTATTGCATGCATGGTGTTCTACAATGTGCTTTCACATATTCGTTTATTCATCTATTCATTCAAGTAGTTATTGGGCACCTACTATGTACCAAGCACTGAGCTAGGCAACTGTAAGCAGCAAGCAGGGATTGTTCCTGTGCTCTGAAGTCTTACTGGGGAAGTAGAAGGTATTTTAAAAATCACAGGATGGTGGTGGCTCACGCCTGTAATCTCACTGCTGAGGCAAGTGGATCACTTGACTCCAAGAGTTCAAGACCAGCGTTAGCAACATAGTGAAACCCCGTATCTTCCCAAAATACAAAAAATTAGCTGGCATGGTGGCATGTGCCTGTGGTCCCAGCTACTCAGGAGGCTAAGTCAGGAGTATTGCTTGAGCCCGAGAGGCAGAGTTTGCAGTGACCCAAGATTGCGCCATTGCACTCCAGCCTAGGCAACAGAGACAGACTCTGTTTCAAAATAATAATAATAATAATAATAATAATAATAATAATAATAATAATGAATTTAAAAATATCACGCAAAAGTGAAATTGCAAGTGTGGTAGGTGCTCCAAAGGTGATCATGGTGCTTTACGTGTGTATGAGGTAGAATTTCGATTTGGGGGGAGGGGCCATTGAGGATGTGACACTTAAGATCTGAAAGATGAGTAGACAACTAGGTAGAGGGAAATCATTCAAGGCTAGGGGAATGGCCTGTGGAAAGGTCCTGTGGTGTGTGAGAGCATGGATAGTGAGGGGACTGAGAGAAGGCTGGGGTGTCTGGATTAGAGAGAGCAAGGGGACAGCTGAGGATGTAGGAACAAACATTGCTGAGCCTTGCAATATTTTTAGAGCAATGAGAAGCCATTGAAAGGGCTTCAAGCCTGGGGTGGGTGCTGTGATAGGATCAGATTAATGTTTAATTAAATTAAATTAAATTATTTATTTATTTGAGACAGGCTCTTACTTTGTCACCCAGGCTGGAATACAGTGTCATGATCTCAGCTCACTGCAACCTCCACCTCTCGAGAGGAAATGATCCTCCTGCCACAGCCTCCAGAGTAGCTGCAACCACAGGCATATGCCACCATACCTGGCTAATTTTTGTGTTTTTTGTAGAGACATGGTCTTGCCATGTTGCCCAGGCTGGTCTTGAACTCCTGGACTCAAGCAATCCACCCACCTTGGCTTCCCAAAGTACTAGGATTACAGGTGTGAGCCATCATACTCTGCCTCAGATTCATATTTTAAAAGGGTAAACTATAAATGTTCTGTTTCCTCTGCTATACAGATGCCTGTTCATAGAACATGGATGTGCATTTCTCTATAGATATAGAGTCTCTATTTTTTAAATTATGCTTTTATGTATATATATATATATATATATACCTACATACACATGTATACACATAAGCTTATACACACACAATTAATATTTATTTCTCTCTGTGCCTGTGGGCAACTGGGTACTGGGAATCAGCAAGTGAACTAGAGGATGACAGAGAAAGCAGGAAGCATCCCTAGAGCAAGAACTAATAAACTCAGTGACCACACACTCTAACCAGATAGATTATTATCCTGTAGGCTGAGGGGTTATTCAAAAGTCCCTAAAGAGCTGACTGCCCGAGTTTGGTCACCTGTCTCTGGCATATGAAGGCCCTGCAAGATGTTAATTATACTCATTCCAAAAAAAGCATAATCAAGTGAATTGAGGGGGACATTGTTTATGTTGCTCTCAGGCTCTGTAAATGGTATATACAGTATAAACACAGGGCATATGTGTGTATGGAAAACTCTCTCTCTAACCATGCTTTTTCCTCTACTCTCAAACCACAACAATCATCAACATAAGACCACTTCTGTGACCACAGGTGTGTGTGGTTTTTCCCCCACACACCAAGCAGCAGACACCAGCTGGGTGTTCTTTAATTCAGTTCTGACACTATCTACCCGGAGATAGTGTCAGATTCCACAAGTTGAGAGCTCAGTCCCCAAGACTGCCTCCCCCTTCCACACTAGTCACAGGTCTGGGCCTCTGAAACTTCTTACCAACATGCTTCAAGTTGGGGCTTCCATGGCCCCCTTTTTGGATTTGACTAATTTGCTGAAGTGGCTCACAGGACTCAGGAAAACACTTACTTATATTTATTGGTTTATTCAACCCTTCCTCTCCCATCTAGCTTATAAACACTTGCTTGTCACTTGAGCCAGCCAAAATCTGATTGTCCTCTGGCCAGGCATTTTCTCAGGTATTTTACTTTTGCTTGAAAATATCTGGCCTCAGCATACGCTAAACTGCAGCTAGAAAGAGATCAACCACCAAAATTCTTTATCAACTTCTCATGAAGACAATATTTAGCAATCTTAAAGTGTTATTGGTTTATTATAAAGGATATTACAAAGGATACAGGTGAAGAGACGTGAAGGGGTCAGAGCTTCCATGCCCTCCCTGAGTGCCACCTCCAGGAACCCTCACACATTTAGCTATCTGAAAGCTCCCTGAACGCAGTCCTCTTGGGTTTTTATGGAAACTTTATGATGTCAGCATTCCCTCCCCCAAGGTATACCACAGGAGTCTCTCTGGAGAGGGTCTTAACACCCACAATCAGAAAGGCAGAATGTATTAGTCCATTCTCACTCTGCTATAAAGAAATACCTAAGAATGAAAAAGAAAATAAAAGGAAAAAGAAATACCTGAGACTCAGTAATTTATAAAGAAATGAGGTTTAATTGTCTCATGGTTCTGTAGGCTGTACAGGAAGCATAGCAACATCAGCTTCTGGGGAGGACTCAGGGAACTTACCATCATGGCAGAAGGCAAAGAGGGAGCGAGGCACTTCACATGGCCAGAGTAGGAGGAAGAGAGAGACTGGTGAAGGGATATAGACTTTTAAATAACAAGATCTCAGGAGAACTCACTCACTTTCATGAGAACAGCACTGAGGGGATCATGATAACCCACTCATAAGAAAGTGCCCCGGTGATCCAATCACCTCCCACCAGCCACTACCTCCAACACTGGGGATTACAATCTGACCTGAGATTTGGGTGGGGACATAGACCCAAACCATATTATGAAACATTAGGGTCCTTCCTTGGGTCAGGTGAAAGGAGGGCAGGAGAAGGTCAGAGGCCTGCCCCTGAGGCCTAACGCACCCAACATTATGACAAAAGACTCTAAGAGGGGCTATCAGAGTTATGAGCCAGGAACCATGATTGAAAACCAATATATATCATAATATCACAGCACAGAAGGAAGAACTCTACCAAGTGCGTTGAACATAAAGAAGTGGTTGGGGTGGGTAGATTGGGAGAAAGTGTCTCATCCTGATATTATATGTAGACTACACTTCTGCTATGTGCTTGGCTTTTGGCCAGATGTCAGTATTTTGGCTCTCTCAAGAAACATGTGCTTCGAAGTAGGGCAAAAATACTTTCTGTTTTGTGGACTCCAAATAAGGAGTCAATAAGCGAAGTGGACTGTGTAGGAAACACTCCTTGTGAAAGATCTCCTTTATCACTGGTGACTAAGGCCTTGTAATGGCTACCCTTTGCATCCAGATTCAGCCAAGGTGCATGTTGGAGTGACCAAAGAACTGGATAGACAATTGCTTTTACAACTTTAATTGAATTGTTGATTCAGGCATTGTTATGGTTTGAATGTGTCCTCCAAAAAGCACATGTTGAAATTTAATAGCCATTGTAACTATTAGGAGGTGGGACCTTTAAGAGATGATTAGACTATTAATCGATTAATGCTGTTATTGTAGGAGTGGACTTGTTAGAAAAGAACAAATATAGCTCCCTTTAATCATTCTCTCGCCTTCTCCTTCTACCTCCCTCCATAGGACGATGCAGCAAAAAAATGCGCTCGCCAGATGTGGGCTTCTCAATCTTGGATTACTCAACCTCCAGAATTGTGAGAAATCAATTTCTATTCATTATAAATTACCCAATCTCGGGTATGCTGTTACAGCAGCATAAAACAGACTAAGATAGGCATGATTGTCCAATTGTTTGAATATTGTATTAGACTTTGTCATTATTTTATTAAATGAATAGAAAATGGAAAGTGCTATTGATAAGAAACATGAGTCTCATTAACTTATTTCATTTGCAACCAGGTGGAAAAGCATTAGGTATGCTAGTAGAGACAAATCTTTATCCTCGGTCTGATACTCAAGATTTAAAACAGAAATGAAATGTGTTTTCACTTCTGAAGAAAAACTCATACTAAAGAACCTATTCAAGAATGTTAGAAATAACCCTATTTCAGTACCAACCCAAACAAATAAACCTTATTAAAAACCATTTATGAGGCAATCAAAGAAACATGGACTGGATATTGAATGATATTAAACAAGTTATTGTTAACTTTTTAAGGATAGAAAATTGGCATTGTGGCTATTCAAGTATGCTTGTCTTTCAGAGATATCTGCTGAAGTATTTATAGGTAAACTGATATGATGTTTAGGATTGGCTTCAACATAATTTCTTAGGGAGAAAGGGAGTAGGTACAGATATGGATAAAACAAGATTGACTCTGAGTGAAAAATTATTGAAGCTGGGTGATGAGTACATGATGGTTGTGGCAGATTTTATTTTTTAAATGTAGCAGTAATGTTTTCCATCCATGTTCGTCTGTAATTTGACTTTTCCATCATCCCATAGAAAGGCAAGGATCTATGCCCTTTCCCCATGACTATTAGGCAGGCTTTAATCAATAAAGTAAAACAAATAAAACAATGTGACATCTGAGGCCAGTCTATGAAAGGCCACGCAGCTCCCACCTTGATTCTCTTGGCATGCTTATTCCCCGGACACTTCTTCTGAGGATGCTCTGTCTGGGAACCCAGCTGCCATATTATGAGAAGCTCAAATCATGCTGAGCGTGGTGGCTCATGCCTATAATCCCAACACTTTGAGAGGCCAAGGCAGGAGGATCTCTTGAGCCCAGGAGTTCAGGAGCAGCCTGGGCAACATAGCAAGACCACATCTCTTGGAAAAAAAAAAAAAAAGAAAGAAAAGAAAAGAAAAAAAGGGAAAAAAGAAAAAAGTTATTTTAAAGAAAAACATTATTTAAGGAAGAGAGAAGCTCAAGTCAAATGGACAAACCATGTGTAGATGTTCCAGCCCATAGCCCCAACCAAGCCCAGCCTTCAAGTTATCCCACCCCGGAACCAGACATAAGACTGAAGAAACTTGCAGATGATTCTGGTCCTAGTGATTCAAGTTACACTAGCCTTTCTAGTCTTTCCAGTGGAAGCCCAGACATCATGGAGCAGAAAGAAGCCATCTCTACCATGCACTGTTCAAATCCTGATCTTCAGAATCTATGAGCATAATGGCTCTTGATTTATATCATGGATTTGGAGTAACTTGTTACATAGCAAAATATAAATGAAATTGGGATGTGTTATGCCATTCTGTTTATTACTTTTGTATATATTTGAAATTGTCTGTAATAAAACATTTTTTAAAAACTTGTATGGCCATTAAAAAAGAATGCTAGAAATACACCATCAGACTTTTCTAAAAGGTGAGATACGATTGGGAATTTTACAATGATTTTAGCTCTTTGGAGACAGAGTCCTCCTTACAGTATGGAAAACTTTCACAGACTCCTCAGTCATACACATTGCAGCATGTGTGAAAGTCAGTGACTGTCTGGATGGGTTTATTTGTATTAAATGGGAGAGAAGAGACTATGGTGAGTAGCCAGCAGGGAGAATACAATATTCAAAGTGAAAGGGTCAAATTAGAATAAATTTCAGCTTCCAGGTGCTTTGCTAGATTTTATATGCAGAAAACTAGCCCAAACCCTTATTTCTTCATGGATTTTGGGATTCAGGACAGTCTTTCTTCCCCACCCCACCATGGTTGATTAACTTCCTAGGAGTCCTGCAGAAAGGGCTGATCAACTAAGTTGAAGACCTATGTACTTCTCTTTTTTTTCCCTTTGTTACCTGTGCTTTGTGAGGGAGTATGTTTTATATTTTTCCAAAACGGAAATAGCTTTATTTTATTTCTGTTTATAAAGTGAATACATGTTCTTTTTAAAAAGTTAGTTTATTTATGCCAGGTGTGGTGGCTCACACCTGTAATCCCAGCACTTTGGGAGGCTGAGGTGGGCGGATCATGAGGTCAGGAGATCAAGACTTTCTTGGCTAACATGGTGAAACCCCGTCTCTACTAAAAATACAAAAAATTAGCCAGGCGTGGTGGTGGATGCCTGTAATCCCAGCTACTTGGGAGGCTGAGGCAGGAGAATCACTTGAACCCAGAAGGTGGAGGTTGCAGTGAGCCGAGATTGCACCATTGTACTCCAACCTGGGTGACAAAGCAAGATTCCATCTCAAAAAAAAAAAAAAAAGTTAGTATATTTAGAAACCACCCAATTGTCAATAGATGGATGAATGAATAAAGAACATGTGGTATATATAAAAGGTCTTCAAAACATTCATGGAAAATATATATTATGAAAAAACTATGCATAGATTTTGAATTTTTTGTACCAAAATAAAGTCCTACTAACTTGTTATAACAAGTCTGGACAGAATCTAATATGATGCACTAAGAAGGATAACACATCACTTTGAAAAGACCCCTGTATTAGTCCATTCTCATGCTGCTATAAGGACATACCTGAGACTGGGTAATTTATTTTAAAAAAAGTGATTTAATTGATTCAGAGTTCTGCATGACTGGGGAGGCCTCAGGAAACTTACAATCATAGTGGAAGGGGAAGCAAACATTTCCTTCTTCACATGGTGGCAGGAGGGAGAAGTGCAGAATGAAGTTGGGAAAAGTGCATTATAAAGCCATCAGATCTTGTGGGAACTCACTCCCTGTCATAAGAATGGCATGGGGGACCATCCCCATGATCTAATCACCTCCCACGAGGTACCTCCCCCAACATGTGGGGATTACAATTCAAGATGAGATTTAGGTGGAGACACAGAGCCAGACTATATCATTCCACCTCTGATCTCCCAAATCTCATCTTTTTCACATTTCAAAACACAACTGTGCCTTCCCAACAGTTCTCCAAATCCTTAACTCATTTCAACATTAACCCAAAAGTCAAAATCCAGAGTCTGATCTGAGACAAGGCAAGTCCCTTCCACGTCTGAGCTTGTAAAATCAAAAGCAAGTAAGTTACTTCCTAGATACAATAGGGGTACGGGCACTGGATAAATACATCCATCCCAAATGGGAGAAATTGGCCAAAACGGAGGGGCTACGGGCCCTATGCAAGTCTGAAATTTAATAAGGACGTCATTGAATCTTAAAGTTCCAAAATGATCTCTTTTGACTCCATGTCTCAAATCCAGATCATGCTGATGCAAGAAGTGGGCTCCCATAGCCTTGAGCAGCTCCTCCCCTGTGGCTTTGCAGTGTGCAGCCCTGCTCCTGGCTGTTTTCATGGGTCGGTGTTGAGTGCCTGCAGCTTTTCCAGGTGCATAGTGCAAGCTGTTGGTGGATCTACCATTCTGGGGTCTGGAGGACAGTGACACTCTTCTTACAGCTCCACTAGGCAGTGTCCCAGTGGTGACTCTGTGTAGGGGCTCCAACCCCGTATTTCCCTTCTGCACTGCCCTAGAAGAGGCTCTCCATGAGGGCTCTGCCACTGCTGCAAACTTCTGCCTGGACATCTAGGCATTTCCACACAGCCTCTAAAATCTAAGCAGAGGTTCCCAAACCTCAATTCTTGACTTCTGTGCACCTGCAGGCTCAACACCATGTGGAAGCTGCCAAGGCTTGGGACTTGCACCCTCTGAAGCCATAGCTCTAGCTGTACCTTGAGCACTTTTAGCCACAGCTGGAGCTGCTGGGATGCAGGACACCAAGTCCCTAGGCTGCACACAGCAAGGGGGCCCTGGGCCCAGCCCATGAAACCATTTTTCCATCCTAGTCCTCCAGGCCTGTGATGGGAGGAGTTGCCTTGAAGGTCTCTGACATGCCCTAGAGACATTTTCCCCATTGTCCTGGTGATTAACATTCAACTCCTTGTTACTTATGCAGATTCCTGCAGCAGGCTTAAATTTCTCCCCAGAAAATGGGTTTTTCTTTTCTATTGCATTGTCAAGCTGCAAATTTTCCAAACTTTTATGCTCTGCTTCCTCTTGAATGCTTTGCCACTTACTTAGAAATTTCTTCCTCCAGATACCCTAAATCATCTCTTTCAAGTTCAAAGTTTCACAGATCTCTAGGGCAGGGGCAAAATGCTGCCAGTCTCTTTGCTAAAGCATAGCAAGAAGACCTTTATTCCAGTTCCCAACAAGTTCCTTATCTCTATCTGAGACCACCTCAGCCTGGACTTCATTGTCCATATTACTGTCAGCATTTTGGTCAAAGCCATTCAACTAGTCTCTAGGAAGTTCCAAACTTTCCCACATCTTCCTGTCTTCTGGGCCCTCCAAGTCTCTGGGAAGTTCCAAACTTTCCCACATTTTCCTGTCTTCTTCTGAGTCCTCCAAACTGTTCCAACCTCTGTCTGTTACCCAGTTCCAAAGTAGCTGCCACTTTTTTGAGTATCTTTACAGCAGGACCACACTACCTTGGTATCAATTTACTGTATTAGTCCATTCTCATGCTGCTATAAGGACATACCCAAGACTGGGTAATTCATAAAGAAAAGTAGTTTAATTGACTCACAGTTCTGCATGACCAGGGAGGCCTCAAGAAACTTACAATCATGGCAGAAGGGGAAGCAAACATCCTTCTTCACATGGTGACAAGAGAAAGAAGTGCAGAGCAAAGAGGGGAAAAGCCCCATGTAAAACCATTGGGATCTCATGAGAAATCACTCACTATCACAACAGCAGCATGAGGGGACCACCCCATGATCAAATCACCTCCAATGAGGTCTCTCCTGTAACACAAGAGGATTACAATTCAGATTACAATTCAAGATAAGATTTGGGTGGGGACACAGAGTCAGACCATATCAAGCCCTATCAGAGCAACATGAATTCTGCAAAAATTGAAACAAGAACAAACACAAAATGTATGACTCAGGTGCAGTGGCTCACACCTGTAATCCCAGCACTTTGGAAAGCTGAGGTGGGTGGATCACTTCAGGTCAGGCATGTGAGACCAGCCTGGCCAACATGGCAAAAACCCATCTCTACTAAAAATAGAAAGAGTAGCCAAGCACAGTAGCACACGCCTATAGTCCCAGCTACTTGGGAGGCTGAAGCAGGAGAATTGCTTGAACCCAGGAGGTGGAGGTTGCAGTGACCTGAGATTGTACCACTGCATTCCAGCCTGGGTGACAGAGCAAGACTCTGTCTCAAAAAAAAAAAAAAAAATTATGATGAAGCTTGGATAAAAGAATGGTGAAATCATTGATGCTTTACAAAATATTTATGAGGACAATGACCCAAAGAAATCAACAGTTTACAAGTGGACTACTTGTTGTAAGAAGGGTTGAGACAGTGTTGAATATTAAGTCCACAGTGGCAGACCATCCACATCAATTTGCAAAAAAAGAAAATTAACCTTGTTCATGTCTTAACTGAAGAGGACTGATGATCAATAGCAGGAGAAATAACCAACACCATTAGACATCTCAATTGGTTCAGCTTACACAATTCTGACTGAAAAATTAAAGTTGAGCAAACTTTCCACTCGGTGTGTACATAAACCAGCTGCAGGCAAGAGCAGAGCTTTCAATGGAAATTTTAAACAAGTGGGATCAAGATCCTGAGGCATTTCTTCGAAAAATTGTAACAGGACATGGAACACGGCTGAAGACAAAGCACAATCAAAGCAATGGCTACCAAGAGATGAAGTGGTCCAGTCAACGCACAGTGAACTGGGCCAGAGCAAAAGGTCATGGCGACATTTTTCTGCGGATGCTCAAGGCATTTTGCTTATTGACTTTCTGGAGGCCCAAAGAACAATAACATCTACATATTATAAGAGTGTTTCGAGAACATTAGCCAAAGCTTTAGCAGAAAAATGCCTGGGATAGCTTCAGCACAGAGTCCTTCTCCACCATGACCATCCTCCTACTCATTTTTCTCATCAAACAAGGGTAATTTTGTGAGAGCTTCTATGGGAAATCATTAGGTATCCATCTTAAAGTCCCGTTTGGCACCTTTTAACTTCTTTTTGTTTCCTAATCTTAAAAAATCTTTCAAGGGCACCCATTTTTCTTCAGTCAATAATTTTAAAAAGACTGCATTGACATGGTTACATTCCCAGGACCCTCCGTTCTTTAGGGAGAAACTAAATGAAGGGTATCTTTGCTGGAGCTTATGTTCAGAAATAAAGTTTATATATATATATTTTGTTTGTTTGTTTGTTTGTTTGTTTTTTGAGACACGGTCTCACTTTGTCGCCTAGGCTGGAGTACAGTGGCATGATCTCGGCTCATGACAACCTCCGCCTCCTGGGTTCAAGCAATTCTCCTGCCTCAGCCTCCTGAGTAGCTGGGATTATAGGTGCATGCCACCATGCTTGGCTAATTTTTGTATTTTTCGTAGAGACAGGGTTTCACCATGTTGGCCAGGCTGGTCTTGAACTCCTGACCTCAAGCAATCTGCCCACCTCGGCCTCCCAGAGTGCTGGGGTTACAGGCGTGAGCCACCATGCCCAGTCAAAGTTTACATTTTTTATTTTTGTATTTTAATCAAATAATCTCGGCTCACTGCAACCTCCTCCTCCCGGATTCAAGCCACTCTCCTGCCTCAGCCTCCCAAGTAGCTGGAAGTACAGGTGCATGCCACCACACCCAGCTAATTTTTGTATTTTTAGTAGAGACGGGGTTTCACCATGTTGGCCAGGCTGGTCTTGAACTCCTGACCTCAAGTGCCTGCCTTGGCCTCCCAAAGTGCTGGGATTACAGGCGTGAGCCACCACGCATGGTCCCAAGAACTTTTTGAAGTCCTCTTGTACACACAACAAAATATTATTCAGTCTTAAAAAGGAAGGAAATTCTGACACATGCTACTACCCTGAGGATATTATGCTAAATGAAATAAACCAGTCACAAAAAGACAAGTATTGTTAAGTCCATTTATATGAGGTATCTAAAGTAGTCAAATACATAGAAACAGAAAGTAAAACAGTGATTTCCAGGCATGAGGGGGAGGGCAAAAAGGGGAGTTGTTTTTCAATGGTTATAGAGTTTCAGTTTTACGAGATAAAAAGTTTTGTAGATCTGTTTCACAGTCACGTGAATATACTTAGCACTACTAGATTGTTCACTTGGAAACGGTTAAGATGGTGAATTTTATGTGTTTTTTACCACGATTTTTAAAAGCTTTAAAATTTAGTATACATAGCAAAGGAATAGAGAATAAAGTAAATATTGTCATAATCTTACAGGCTAGAAATAATTAGCATTATTGGTATGTGTTCTTCCATACTTTTTTCCCTATGAATAGACACATACATACACAAACACACATATTTATTTCAATTAAATATGAGATCACACTATACCCACTTAATAATTGAAAAGGATATCTTTTCACTGTAATAAACATGTTTTCATGCTCCATTTTAATAGCTGCAGAGTTTTTTACATATTAGATGTGTGGCAGCGTAAAACTTTGGCAGCAGTTCTCAAAATTTCTGATCCCAGGAACCATTTACACTATTACAAATTACTGGGGATTCCAAAGAGTTTTTTTCACATGGGTTACATCTGCAATATTTGATGCACTAAAAATTAAAACTGAGACATTTAAAAAATATTTGTTAAATAATTAAGAGTAACTATAACAAATACTTTTTTTCTTTTAGAGACAGGATCTTGTTCTGTTACCCAGGCTGAAGGTCAGTGGCATGATCATAACTCACTGTAACCTCAAACTCTTGGGCTCAAGCAATCCTCTCACCTCAGCCTTCCAAGTAGCTAGGACTGCTGTCAAGTACCATCACACCTGGCTTATTTATGTATTTATTATTTTACTTTAAAGTTCTGGGACACATGTGTAGAACATGCAGGTTTGTTGCATAGATATACATGTGCCATGGTGGTTTGCTGCATCTATCAACCTGTCATCTAGGTTTTAAGCTCCGCATGCATTAGGTATTTGTCCTAATGCTCTCCCTCCCCTAGCTCCCACACCCCCCGACAGGTACCGGAGTGTGATATCTCCCTGTGTCCATGTATCCTCATTGTTCAGCTCCCACTTATGAGTGAGAACATGCCATGTTTGGTTTTCTGTTCCTCCTGGCTAATTTTTAAAAAACATCTTTTGTAGAAATGGGGGTCTTGCTATGTTGCCAAGGCTGGTCTCGAACTCCTGGCCTCAAGTGATTCTCCTGCTTTGTCCTTCCAAAGTGGTGGGATTACAAGCATGAGCCACTGCACCTGGCCATAAACACATTTCATATTAATATAAATAGCATATTTTTATTAAAAAAACTATGTTTAAAACAAGAAAATCAGCGAGAAAAGTAGCATTGTTTTATCTGCAAATCACTTTAGTGTCTCACTTAACAAAAGGCGGCTGGATTCTCACTTAACAAAAGGTGGCTGGATTCTTACATGAATATCAACATTAAATTTGTTACATCATAATACATCATGTAGTGTCTGGAAAATCGCACTGTCCTCTCAGGAGAGAATGAGGGTGAAAGGAACAAATGACATTTTAATATTATTATGAAAAGAGTTTTGACTTCACAGACCCCTTGCAGGGGTCTCCAGACTCTTAGGAGGTCTGTGGACCACATCTTAGGAATTGTTTTAGAGATGTTACTCTATGTCCCTTTTTTCTTTCTAGTCTTCTTTTTTGAACAAGTAGCAAGCTTGGCTCATTGTTTCAAATGTAGGATGTGACACAGCGGGGCAAAAAAAAAGCAGAGAACAAGCTTTTATTTTCAAAAGCCTAAACCTAAATCCATTAAGATTCTGTGAGGTGCCTCAGAGTTAACACCTCACCACGGTGCAGTTTCCTAACCTACTGCACACCTTGACACACATAGAAAATGACAGCATTTGTAGAGCACTCTGGGAAAGCTGATGCTTTCGAGGGAATCCGCACACCCTTGGTGTAAAATACATTTTGTATGTTATATAATTATGATAAGAAGCATAAAATACAGGCCACACGTTTGCTAAATATTTTATTTGTAAACAACCTCCAAATGCTGTTTCTTACATTTTCTTAATCAAAGCTTGAATTCATGAAGATAACATTTTTTTTTTTGAGACAAGGTCTCACAGTGTCACCCAAGCTGGAGTGCAGTGGTGCAATCATGGCTCACTGCAGCCTCAATCTCCCAGGCTCAATCAATCCTTCTGCCTCAGCCTCCCAAGTAACTGGGACTACAGGTGCACATCATCATGCCCTGCTAAGTTTAAAATTTTTTTGTAGAGACAGGGTCTTGTTATGTTGCCCAAGCTGGTCTCCAACTCCTGGGCTGAAGCAATCCTCCTGTCTCGGCCTCTCAAAGTATTGGGATTACAAGTGTGAGCCACCATGTCTGGCTAGAACATAACTATTTAATATTCAGTGTATTTGAAATGTCTGTCCACCATCTTAATTAATGATTTTCAATAATCTCTTCAAATTCCTAATAAAAACTTTGCTCATGCAAGTAGGTAATAAACAATTTAAAAAATTTTAACAGTTGTATTTATTAAAAGAATCTCACAGCAATTCCTTTCTTTCATGAGAAAGATAATGTTGACCCAGAGTCAAATCTTAAAAAAGACAATGTTGAAATTTTTTGTGATAAAGTAAATGAATTTTAGATACAATTGAACATTTTCACATTACATATTGTAAAATAGTGATGAAGCTGCAATTGACAGAAAGGGCTTGCCGATGGCCGAGGGGCAGGTGGACCAATAGATGTTCCAGGTGATACCTGGGTGGACAGATGAGTGGAAGATCACTTCCTCCTGTCATCTGCCTGCTCCTGGCCTCACTCCTGACATGCATCACTCCTCAGCACTGTGCAAGTGCCCCAGAACTCAGACACAACCCTGCAGAACAGGGAAACATTTTAAGTTTTCTATCATTTCTATCCTCTTATTATAATAAAAATTGTAAACATACATAAAAGTTTGTAACCACCACCTAGATTCTACAATTAACTATGTGTCTATCCATTCAATCATCCCTCTCTCTATTCATCAATCTATCTTATTTTTTTAAATTGAGATACAATTCTCATAGCATAAATTCACCATTTTAAAGTGTACAATTCAGGGGTTTTAGTATATTCACAAGGTTGTGCAACCATCAATACTATCTAATTCCGTAACATTCTCATCACTCCAAAGAGAAACTCCATATCCATTAGCAGTAATTCTTACTTGCTATCTACCTTCTGTCTTTATGGATTTGCCTATTCTGGACATTTCATACAATATGTATCATTTTGTGTCTGGCTTCTTTCACTTTGCACAATGTTTTCAAGGTTATGCTATGTTATAGCATAAACCAGTACTTTATTCCTTTTTGTGGCTGAATAATATTCCATTTATATGGATATACCACTTGTATTTGTCAATTTATCAGTTGATGGACATTTGTGCTGCTTCTGCTCTTTGGCTATTATGTGTAATACTCCTATGAACATTCATGTACAAGATTTTCAATTCTTTTGGATATATACCTAGGAGTGGAATTGCCAAGTCATATAACTCTACGTTTAACATTTTGAAGAAATATCAACCTGTTTTCTACAGTGACTATACCATGTTATAATCCCATCAGCAATATATGAGGGTTCTATTTTCTCCACGTCCTCACCAACACTTATTATCGTGTGTCTTTTTAAATTATATCCATCGTAGGGAAGGAAAAATTTTCTTCTACCTACTTAGGTTCTGTGACTGGGCCTAATACTTAAACTGACATAAGATGGATCGATAGGAGAAAAGCATATAAGTTCATTCAATATGTTTACATGTACATAGGAGTCTTCACAAGGGTAATGAAGACCCAAAGAAGCCACTGGGCCCTAAAGCTTATATGCCTTTGTCCACAAAGAATACTAAATTAGTGGAGATGTAACAAGACAAAGGGGCTCGGGCTAGAGCAGTAAATTGTGGTATAGAGATTAGGAAATATGAGTAAATTAGTGGAAGATAAAAGCTATTTTAGTATGTTCAGAATTGTACAGATCCTTTTCAGGGTAACTCTTAGTTTCTGTTGATAAGAATGTTCTTTTCTTCCTGCTACAAGGAGGACAACTTTCTCACAGGAAGCTTTATCATCTGCTATTTGGTGAAAAAAAAAAGCGGGGGGAGATCAGAGAATTCCTACATCTGCTGTTACTCAAGTGCTTTTAGTTCAAAATAATCAATATGCAAAAGTGGTATATTTTGGTGCATTATGTTCTGAACTCTTTTACCAAGTTGATATCTTATTGTGGTTTTGATGTACATTTCCCTAGTGAAAAATGATGCTGATCTTTTCATATGCTTATTGGTCATTCTTCTTTGGGGGAAATATCTATTTAAATTATTTGTTGACTATCTTATTTTTTGAAATATTTGAATATCTATAAGCTGTAGACCTTAGTATACTTTACCCTCAAAGACCGCAACATTCAGGCCAGGTGCAGTGGCTCACGCCTGTTGTTACAGAACTGAACTTGGGGCAGGTGTGGTGGCTCACACCTGTAACCACAACCCTTTGGGAGGCCGAGGCAGCAGGATCATTTGAGCCCAGGAGTTTGAGACAAGCTTGGGCAACATAGCAAGACCCTGTCTCTACCGAAAAAAAAAAAAATAGCTGGTCGTGATGGCATGTGATTGTAGTCCCAGCTACTTGTGAGGCTGAGGTGGGAGGATCACTTGAGCCCAGGGGGTTGAGGCTGCAGTGAGCCACTGCACTCCAGATTGGGTGACAGAATGGGACCCTATCTCAAAAAAGGGTGAAAAAAAGGAACCAAAGTGGGGTTCACTTGCCTGGAGCAGTGAAACCAGATATCCACACTGAGGTTTTACAGCAGTAGAAAGGAAGATGTGGGCCAGGTGTGGTAGCTCATGCCTGTAATCCTAGCACTTTGGGAGGCTGAGGTGGGAGGATCGCTTGAGGCCAGGCATTTGAGACCACCCTGGACAACATAGCAAGACCTCTATCTCTATATTAAAAAAATAAATTTTAAAAAAGTAAGGAAGACATTTATTTTCAGGGAGGATCAGGCAGCTAATGCTTAAATCCTGACCTCCTGGATGGCTTGAAAGTAAGGGTTTTTCAAGGCAGGGGTAAATTTCAGGAAAGCAGAAGTTATAGGCAAAATTGTAACTCAATACGTGAAGGTAACACACTGGTTTTGCCTTAAAAGGGTGGGATATCTTGAAGGGTGGATGGGGCTTAGAGGTCAGAGGTAGATTCAAAGATTTTCTGATTTGCAATTGGTTAAGGAAGGGAAGTTTTTCGGGGGGCGGGGTGGGAGTGGTGGACGGAGTCTCACTGTATCGCCCAGGCTGGAGTGCAGTGGCACGATCTGGGCTCACTGCAGCCTCCACCTCCTGGGTTGAAGCAATTATCCTGCCTCAGCCTCCTGAGTAGCTGAGATTACAGGTGTGCGCCACCACACCCGGCTAATTTTTGTATTTTTTGGTAGAGATGGGGTTTTGCCATGTTGACCAGGCTGGTCTCTAACTCCTGAGCTCAGGCAATCCGCCCTCCTCGGCCTCCCAAAGTGCTGGAATTACAGGAGTGAGCCACCGTGCCTGGCCAGAAGGGAAGCTTTATTTAAAAATTTGGGATCAGCAGAAAAGAATGTTAGCTCTGGCTTATGGGTGCAACTCCCTCCAGACCCCTCAGGAAGAAATTTAGAACAAAGAACGGTGCTCAGAGTTCAGTCTTCAGTTCCTGCTTATCTGAGGTCGATGTGTCAGTGGATCCATTTGGTGGAGATCCAGGTTTCTGAAAAACAACTCAGGGATATATATTAAGATGTTATATTTAGGGCCAGGCCCAGCACTTTGGGAGGCGGAGGCAGGTGGATTGCCTGAGCTCAGGAGTTCAAGACCAGCCTGGGCAACATGGCAAAACCCCATCTCTACTAAAAATGCAAAAACTAGTCAGGCCTGGTGGTGCACACGTGTAATCCCAGCTACTTGGGAGGCTGAGGCAGGAGAATCGCTTGAACCTGGGAAGCGGAGATTGCAGTGAGCTGAGATCGTGCCACTGCACTCCAGCCTGGGCAACAGCGTGAGACCCTGTCTCAAAAAAAAAAAAAAAAAAAAAAAAAAAAAAAGAAGAAACAAAAAAGAAAGTTGTTATCTTTAGTTTCTCTAGAGGAACCAAGCATCTGACTCTAACTTCCTCGTCTATTGTTTTAGGCTACTGTTACCTTCTGCTTGTCAGGTTGCTTATTTACTTCTCAGGGCTAGCTAAGTGCCTGGAATTTCATTTGAAGGAACTCAGAATTTTCCTTTATTTCCATGTTTGGAGGCTCACAGGCTACTAAGAGAGGGTTCTTGCTCCATCTGACCGTAATCATAATCTCAGCGCTTTGGGAGGTTGAGGTGGGAGGATTGCTTGAGCCTAGGAGTTCAAGGTTAGAGTGAGCTATGATTGCACCACTGCACTCCAGCCTGGGTGATAGAGTGAGACCCTATCTCTAAGCAAAGAAAAAAAATAAAGACTTCAACATTCGTATTATGAACTAGAGTTCGACATTTGTTTATGGTTCTTTTTGCTTTTAGGTAAAATTTACCTACAATAAAATATACAAATCTTGAGTGTAACATTGGATGAGTTTTGACAAATTCATAAATCCAAATGTCTATCACTCCAGAAAGTCCCTTTAAGCCCTTTCCCAGTAAATCCCCGCCCCCATACCCAGAGGCAAGCACTGTTCTGACTTTGTCCATCATAAATTAGTTTAGCTTGCTCTAGAACTTGAAGAGGAAGAAGAATTACAGGTTACACACTCTTTGTGTTAAGTTCTTTTTACTCAGCACAGTGTTTTTTGAAATTAGTTCAGGCTATTGAATGTATCTGAGTTTATTCATTTTTTTCTAAGTAGTTTCCATTGCGTGAATATATCATAGCTTGTTTATCTATTTTCCTATTGATGGGCATGTGAGGTTGTTGACAAGTTTTGGTATTATGAATAAAGCTGCTAAGAACATTCTTATCTCACTCTTTTTGTAGAGCTATGTTTTCATTTCTCAAGGGTAAATAACTAGGAGTGGAACTTCTGAGTCATAGGATTGGTATGAAACTGCCAAAAGTTTTTCCAAAGTGGTTGTATCATTTTACACTCCCATGAACAATGTATGAGAGCTCTCGTGGTTCCATTAGACCAACACTTCATGTTGCCAGTTTTTAAAATTTTAGCCATTCTGGTGGGTGTATAATCCACCTCATCGTGGTTTTCTTTTTCATTTCTATGATGACTAATAATGTTCTTTATGTGCTTATTTGCCATTTGAATAGGTTCCTTTATGAAATGACTGTTGAATTTTTTGCTAATTGGATAACATTTTAACATATATAAGGGTTGTATACCCTTCAAGATAGCAAAAATTTAAAAAGAATTCAGAATTCTGTGAATTCAGATACATAAATATCTACAGAGCCAAAGAAATGCAAAGTGCATTGGCACAATGGGCCAGTCTAAGTGGGGTGTCAGAGTTCTGTAAGTTGCTTTACGAAATCCCAGCACTTTGGGAGGCTGAGGCGGGTGGATCGCGAGGTCAGGAGGTCGAGACCATCCTAGCTAACATGGTGAAACCCCATCTCTACTAAAAATACAAAAAAATAGCTGGGCATGGTGGCGGGTGCCTGTAATCCCAGCTACTTGGGAGGCTGAGGCAGAAGAATGGCGTGAACCTGGGAGGTGGAGCTTGCAGTGAGCCGAGATTGCACCACTACACTCCAGGCTGGGTGACAGAGCTAGACTCTGTCTCAAAAAAAAAAAAAAAAAAAAAATAATAATAATTAGGTCATGATAGGATTCACACTCAGGGATGTGGGCTAAGTGACCAGGGCCACATTATGACTCTCATGGGCTCTGGGCACTTTTGCCTTTGTGGGAAAATGAATTAGAAATTATATTTTAGCACTGCATTGGTATACAGATAAACATAATCCAAATGGATTCAATGTTATATGTGCATTATTATTTTATTAATTTTTGTCCTGATTTAAAAAGAAATAAAAATTAGAACACATTTGTGGGCATCTGTAAGTATTGTAGGCTCTAGACACTATGCCCTTCTGCCTAATTCTGAGTAAGTCAGCCCTGTAAGTGACCATGCCCCTTTTAAGGTATGGCATGAAAAACTATAGAAATTACAAAAGGGACTTCAACCTAGGTCAGGCTTGTGAGGAAAGCCATCCTGGAGGTCTGCAGTCCAGGCCTAATGTCCTAGCTAAAACCTCTGGTTGTTCTGCAAGAATGTGGAATGACATAATCTTTTCCTTGGTGAGTAAGCATCTTTCAACCTCAGAGAGGATTAAGTATAGGAATGTTTACCAGAAATTTCACCTATACTTGAATATTTTGGGGTTAAAGAAACTGTACATGTTTGATATGGAAACATTTAAGAGAATTTGGCCGATTAGAGTAATACTTTAGCTTTGTAATTCTTAAGTGTGTAATTGAGCAATTGATTTAGCTCATGATTTTAAGTTGAAATATTATTGGTTTAATTTATTAGATATTAACTTACCTAAGAAAATGGGAAAGTTTTGTTTAAGCAGTACTTGAAAGGAAAATCAAATATGTTAAATGTATAAATATAGTTGGAAATATTTAAGGAAATTTACTCAATTAAATTAACCTTTGTTCTTTAAAGTAAGTGTTGAAATTGTCTAGATTTATAAGGAGTATTACATGTTTTTAAAACCGTGACTTCTGACTGAATGCAGTGGCTCATGCCTATAATCCTAGCACTTTGGGAGCCAAGGTGGGAGGACTGCTTGAGCCCAGGGGTCCAAGACCAGCCTAGGCAACATAGGAAAACTCCATATTTACAAAAAAAATGAAAAAAAATAAGTAATTAGTTGGGCGTGGTGGTGCACGCCTGTGGTCCCAGCTACTTGGGAGGCTGAGGTGGGAGAATCACTTGGGTCCCTGAAGTCAAGACTGCAGTAATCTATGATCATGCCACTGCACTCCAGCCTGGGCAGCAGAGTGAGACCCCCATCTAAAAACAGAAAACAAAAAAACAACTGTGACTTCTTGAAAGCTAAAGAAATAATTAGATTTTGAACAATTTGAATGTTAATTTTTAAATAAAAATAACTTTCTGTGCACAAAAATCACCCATGTGGACATAGGGAAAAAAAAAACCCTTGCACTAACAATATATGTGCCACAGTGGATCTGCTTTAGATAAGCAGTGAGGAGGGCAGGTTGCAGAAAGCATCGATACCAGGAACTGTGTGAGAATAGGAGCCTGCTCCTCTTGCCCAAAGCTCACATTGCCATTTTTTGGTTTCAGTCCCAAACTCAAACTTAGCTTGAGCTGTGAATTTATCTGTGAATTCATACGGTACCTGCCCTAAATACTGACACCCAAATGTCAAAGCACTGTGTCAATCAATTTGCTATTATCATCTTTCTGTAAAAGACACTTTAAAACTTACCATCAGTACCTGATCTTTCAAATAGGGTTCCACCTTGGCCCAGACTCTCTGCTTTTGCATTATTTATCCAGCTATTTATTCCTCCCAGATTCTTCTTTGTACTCCCTGGGTACAAATTAGTGCTTTTGGAAATAACCTCAAATTTTTCGGTCACTAGGGTCCCATTGACCCTCATTTACCGGAATAATAATTTCTTAAATGGTGCCCTAGTGGCCTGAATAAATGGATGCCCCTTTCAAATGGCCTAATTTGCATGCTGAGCACGATTTAGCCACCAAGCAACATCTAGAGTTCTGTTTTTATTTATCTCATTAATTAACTTTCTAGTTACTTTGATAACTATTTTCAGAGTAGCCACATCATCTTGCTTGCATAAGGGAAACACTAAAGCCACTGAGCTAATGTGGGCTATTTTAAGTTGCTATATGAGAACACAGTGGTTCCCTCAGTATCCGTGGTGGTTAATACTGAGTGTCAACTTGATTGGAATGAAGGATGCAAAGTATTGATCCTGGGTGTGTCTGTGAGGGTGTTGCCAAAGATTTGTGTTAGCGAGCTGGGAAAGGCAGACCCACCTTTAATCTGGGTGGGCACCATCTAATCAGTTGCCAGCGTGGCTAGAATATAAAGCAGGCGAAAAATGTGAAAAAACGAGACTGGCCTAGCCTCCCAGTCTACATCTTTCTCCCGTGCTGGATGCTTCCTGCCCTCGAACATCGGACTCCATGTTCTTCAGTTTGGGGACTCGGACTGGCTCTCCTTTCTCCTCAGCGTGCAGATGGCCTATTGTGGGATATTGTGATCATGTGAGTTAATACTTAATAAATTCCCGTATATATATATCCTATTAGTTCTGTCCCTCTAGAGGACCCTGACTAATACAGTATCCATGGGGGGACTGGTTCCAGGACCCCCATGGATACCAAAATCCCTGATGCTTAAATCCCTAATATAAAATGGTGTAGTATTTGCATATAACCTATCTACATCCTCCTGCATGCTTTAAATTGTCTGTAAATTACTTATAATTCCTAATACAGGCCAGGCACCATGGCTCATGCCTGTAATCCCAGCACTTTGGGAGGCTGAGGCAGGAGGATCACTTCAGACAAGGAGTTCAAGACCAACCTGGGCAACAAAACCAGATCCTGTGTCTACAAAAACATTTAAAAATTAGCTGTGTGTGTTGGCTTGCACCTGTAGTCCTAGCTTCTCAGGAGGCTGAGGTTAGAGGATCCCTTGAGCCCAGGAGTTCGAGGCTGCCATGAGCCATGATTGTATCACTGTACTCCAGACTGGGTAATTGAGAGAGACCCTGTCTCAAAAATAAAAAAATTTAAAAAAAGAAAGAAAGGAAAAAGATAATACCTAATACAATCTGAATGCTATGTAAATAGTTGTTATACTATATTTGCATTTGCATTTTTTTTACTGATATATTGTTATTTTGATTTTTTTTTTTTTAAACAGTCTTGCTCTGTTGCCCAGGCTGGAGTGGCATGATCTCGGCCCACTGTAACCTCTGCCTCCTGGGTTCAAGTGATTCTTGTGCCTCAGCTTTTCCAGTAGCTAGGATTACAGGTGCATGCCACCACTCCCAGCTAATTTTTGTATTTTTAGTGGAGACGGGTTTTCACCATGTTGGCCAGGCTGGTCTTGAACTCCTGACCTCAAGTGATCCACTTGCCTCGGCCTCCCAAAGTGCTGGAGTTACAGGCATGAGCCACCGCGCCTGGCCTTTTTCTTAATATTTTTGATCTGCAGTTGGTTGAATTAGGTCAGCTGCTTTGTTGATGTGGAGGGGCAAGTGTACATATTCATATGCAAAGAGCACCACTTTGTAAATGTGAAGGTCATGGTCTTCCTATATGTGGTTTAACAGTTACATTAATTTCACATTAAACTTACAAAGTCTTTGTTCTCTGGGGTATTGTCACCCAAATGCTCTGGTATGTTTGCCTCTGCTTCCTGCCTCCAAGAACTGCTCCTCCCACCAGTCCACAGAGTTCATTTCTGTGCGGTTGATTCTGTGCATTTGTTCTATGTGATAGCCACTGTTTCCTGGTCACAGCTGATGGACCAAGAATGGGAATCTAATTTAAGCTCGGTCGCTGTTTTCTGGGAAATTGAGACAGACCCAGGAGAGTACCTATTGATATGCAAATGCCAGGCCTTGTAAATGGGTTTCTGAGGCTACTATTTTGGTGCTGTCATCATCCCTCACATGACATATCTGTAGAGGCCAAGGAGCCCATTTGCAGAGAGAGAAAGGGAAGCAGCTAGGCCTAGAAAATCAAAGGTAGATAATGGCCTAGTAGCCTGGGGGAGACAAAGCAGCTGGTTTCTGGTAGATTTCTGGTTCCTGGTGCCAGTCCCTTGTGAACCTGAGAGTATATTCTGCCTTGGGATCTATGAAATACCCCTGCATTTTACAATAAAGCCTCCATTTCATCCTAGGTTACTTCACTTGGATTTCTCTTACTTGTAATCCAAAGAACTCTGACTAGGAAGTAAAGGCAATTTACTAAATATTAGTCACAGAATCTGAATCTTTAAAAAAATTAACTTATTTAGAAGAAAAATAGTGCAATAAGGATTATGGACCAAACAGTTTCATTAAGTTTTACCAGATTAGGGTTTCCTTTCCCAGCTCAAAGCAAATAAAGTGTTCAACCAAAAAAACCAAACTGAACCTGTATAGAGATAACCACATTGCAATTTTCCCTTCATATACTCAGAAACTTTTACTTTCCCGTGGAGATCCATGAATTCTATAACAGACTCTGCTTAACAGCTCAGTTCGGCATTTAATGAGCATGTAATAGATTGTGCCAATAGTGGGGATATGAAATGACTAAGAATGGTCTCTGGCCTCTAGAGGGAGTGTCCAACACATAAATAGAGAATGTCAGTGCCATAGACTGAATGTTTGTGTCCCCCTAAAAATCATATGCTGAAACCCAATGCCCAAGGGGATGATATGAGGAGGTGGGGAAATTGGAAAATGATTAGGTCATGGGGGCAGAGCCCTCATGAATGGGATGAGTGCCCTTAGAAAAGGGATCCAGAGAGCTCTCGTACTCCTTCCACCATGTGAGGACATAGTGAGAAAGTGTCATCTATCCATCCATTCACCAGACATTGACTCTGCCGGCACCTAGATCTTAGACTTCCAACCTCCAGAGCTGTGAGCAGCAGCTACTGTTTATAAGCCTCCCAGTCAATGGTACTTTGTACTTGTTACAGCAGCCTGAACTAAGTCAATAAATTAAATGTAAATTACTTTCCTCCCATTCTCTGCGGTTGGGCTCCATGGGAAGATGGGAGTGATCACAGGATCAGCTAGCAGATCTGGACAGGCCGCCTTCTTTGGAGTCTGAGCTAACAAAAAAGAAGAATGGAGACCTGTGTTCCAGGCTGGGCTTTGTCCACACTGACACAGCTCTGCGGTTCCTGTATCTAGCACGCAGAATCCTTTTCCTAAACTAATCTTCCTGTGTATCTTCACAACTAGAAACGGGGCAAAGAGAAACTGAGAAAGAGGTTCACATGGGTACATCATTCAAGATTCAGTTATAGGAAATAGACGCCACTCTGTGTGTTTTAAGCAGAAAAGAATTTTTTTGAAAGGTAATTAAGCACTTATAAAATTATTGAAGGGGCTAGGAGAAAGGGCTCTAGGCTGGGCCTCTGAGATGATTCTCAGGAACACACTGCAGAATTGGCCCAACAGGGAATTAGAGGCAGAAGAGGGTGTGTTGACTTCAAGGACCCACCTCCACAACCTTGATCCAGGGCAGCTGCTGCTGGACACCCATGAAGCTAATGGTGGCCACTGGAACCCTGCTATAGAAAGCCCCTGGGGATTGAGAGCAGTGCTTGCCAGAGGAAGACAGCACAACAGGAAAGATGGCCTCTGCCTCACTCCCACCCTCAAAACAACGACAATAATAATTATAATAGCACTAACATTTATTGATTTTAACTATGTACCATGGTAATCAATTTGTATGCTTAACTCACTCAGTTCTCATAAAAACCCGATGAAGACTGGGTGCGGTGGCTCACGCCCGTAATCTCAGCACTTTAGGAGGCCAAGGTGGGCTGGCCATTTGAGGTCAGAAGTTCGAGACCAGCCTGACCAACATGGTGGAACCCCATCTCTACTAAAAATATTAAAAAATTAGCTGGGAGTGGTGGCACGTGCCTGTAGTCCCAGCTACTCGGGTGGCTGAGGCAGGAGAATTGCTTGAACCTGGGAGGCGGAGGTTGCAGTGAGCCAAGATCATGCCACTGCACTCCAGCCTGGATAACAGAATGAGACTCTGTCTAAAAAAAAAAAAAAAAAAAAAAAAAAGATGAGGTAGATACTGTTATTATCCCCGTTTTACAGACATGGAAGCTGAGGTAAGGCAAAATCAAGCATCCCCAGGTGATCTGGGTGGTCAGAGCAGTAGAGTGGTGCATGTGGCTCATTGCTTAATCTGCTTCATATCTAGAACCTGGCTGCAAGGAAGTCTGGGAAGCAAAGTGTGGGTTTTGATTTTCCCAACTCTGCAGCTCATGAGGGCACACTAGAAGGGAGTTAGGATGGCAGCCGTGTGGCTGTCCACCACATCCACCCCCATGGGGCAGCTGCAGACCCAGCGCTGACTACGGCAAAAATGCCACAGCAATGGTGAATGGTCATTCAAAGTATCCAATCTATCTGTCATCTGTTGCCCTAAGATTAGCTCACCACAAAACCCTATCAAAGCAATGCAGATGACTTTTAGATTGTATCTGGCACACATTCCTGTTTGAACAAGCCTGAAATGAGTTTCTTGCCTGTGCTTATTTTGTACATATAAAATTACAAAATTAAGTTTGGTGTTTCAAATGTACTCATCTTTGGCAAAATGTGAAGTGCTTTTTTTTTTTTTTTGACACGGAGTCTCACCCTGGAGTGCAATGGCATGATCTCGGCTCAATGCAACCTCCGCCTCCCGGGTTCAAATGATTCTGCTGCCTCAGCCTCCCGAGTAGCTGGGATTACAGGCACCCGCCACCATGCCCAGCTAATTTTTGTATTTTTAGTAGAGACGGGGCTTCACCATGTTGGCCAGGCTGGTCTCAGACTCCTGACCTCAGGTGACCCGCCCGCCTTGACCTCCTAAAGTGCTGGGATTACAGGTGTGAACCACCGCGCCCGGCCATGTTTTCTTTAAAAACAAGCAAACCAACACAGAGTAATAATTACAGGAGGATTGCATGTCAACAGTTCTTTATTTTTCAGGATCAAGCTCAAATGTCACCACGTTTGTGAAGGTTTCCCTTCTGGCTTGTTGAATACATACTTTTATTTATTAATTGTATTCTCGTCTGTGAACTATCATTTATGTCTGTATTACTTTGCTAGGGCTGCCATAACAAAGTGCCACAGACTGAGGAGCTTAACCAACAGAAAATTTTCACAATTCTGGAGGTTAGAAATCCAAGATCTAGGTGTCGGGCAGGTGTGATTTCTTCCCCTTGGCTTGTAAATGGCCATCTTCTCCCTGCACTTTCACACAGTCTTCCCTTTGTGTGTGTGTCTGTGTCCTAATCTCTTCTTAGAGGGACATCAGTCATGTTGGATTAATCAACATGACTGGTGTTGAAGTCAACTCTCATGACTTCTTTTAACCTCAGTTACCTCTTTAAAGACCGTATCTCAAAATACAGTCACCTTCTGAGGTACTGGGGGTTAGGATTTCGACAAATGAATTTGTGGGGAGACCTAATTCAGCCTGCAACAATGTCCTTTGCCAACGAAACGATTTTGCTCTCAGCATTTTTCATACCATACTTATGTGGCAATTTTGGTAAAAATACACTAACTGGCCAGGCGTGGTGGCTCATGCCTGTAATCCCAGCACGTTGGGAGGCCGAGACGGGCTGATCTGGAGAATCGCCTTAGCCTCCCGAGTAGCTGGGATTACAGGCATGTGCCACTACAATCTACTCAGGAGGCGGAGGTTGCAGTGAGCCTTGCTATGTTTCCCAGGCTGGCCTTGAACTCTGGGCTCAAGCAATCCTCCCCACTCAGCCTTCCAAGTAGCTGGGATTACAGGCACACACCACTGTGCCGAGTTCTAGTTATATTTTTACACATAAGAGTTAAATTTTTTTAATGTAGTTAAGTATGCCCTAAAGTTTGTCAGCTTTCCTTCAACTTATAGTTTCTCATTTTTTGAATTATAGTTTAGCTTATTAATTTTTGTTCTTGTAATGTATGTATCTTTAAAGTGTCTTGAGCTTATTTTGGTATTATTGAGGTAAGAACCTAAACAGTTTTTATTTATCTGAATTTTAAACTAATTATTCCAACACCACCTTCTGAACGTGCCCTCCTTTCTTCATCTGACATGTGATGATACATCCTTTATAGAAACCGTATTCTTATGTAACTCTGGGGCTTTGTCCCCAAGACCTAGATATAGATTCAGACCATTACCAGAAAGAACTGCAAAACATTTCTTTACATTCTCAGCTGGGTCATGTCTCAGCCCATCTGGAAGCAGCTTAGGAGGGTCTTAGGCAAATCTACTTCCTTCCTTGCTCTTGTCTCCTCTACTGTGCCCCCAGAGTCCACACTTTGCTTCCACTCCTAGTTGAGGCTGTGAAGTCATTTACCGTTCACTTCTGAGAGAGGGAAGATAGGTTTTCCCCTCCATCCTGGAGGGCAACAAAACTCACATCCTTCAGGGATCTGACGGGTATGGAGATGTGAAGCTGTTGTTCTGGTGGGTAGAAGAGGGAGGTGATGTGAGAAACGCATGTGATTTCTGGGCAGGGCTGAGGCCCATTTGAGGTTGGGGATTATGAATTTATGGTGGAACCCAGCAGCTTCATTGTGTGAATCTCATTGGTAGCTATTGGAGAGACTTAAACTCCTTTGTTCATGGATTGAAGACAAGTAGAGTAGAGAAGTTAAAATCAGGGAGAGATGAAGAAAGAGGGAAGATATCTGCTTCAAAAAGAGATAAAAAAGATTAGCTTTCAACAAGAGAGAAAACACTTCATCTTCTGAGGAGGTAGGAAAGAAAAGGTGTGTGTGAGTGTGTGGGGGTGTATGTGGGGATCAGGGGGGCGTGTTCAGAAACTGGAAGGGGCCCTGCCTGGCATGTCACAGTGCCCTCCTTCTTATTGTCGAAGAGGAATTGGAAGGACACCTCTCTTGCTTCCCTTTGTGGCCAGGGTCAGGTTGTATGTTCCAAGTTCTACCAATCTGATGCTCACTTGGCACTTTGAATCTGGACCATGTGACACCGAGGATTTGTTCGTGACCACTGCAGTGACACTGTTGAGATGACAGCAGTGTCTGGTGTCACAGTGTCCCTCTTGACTGTCATGGTGAAAAGAAGACTATACGCTTCTTCCTCCCTTGTTCTCTGGAGTTGCCTTTGTTCCAGCTAGTTTTCCAAGTCTGGTCCTCAGGCCTCTGGCCAATATTGTAAACCTCCACTTTTCTCCTATTAGACTTGTCAGAGTCAGTTTCTGTCACCTGCAACCAAGAACCTTGACTGATGCTTTGCGGGGAGCTTTGGAATTAAAACACAGAAGGTTCTAATCTCAGCTCTCATACTAGCTTTGTGGCCTTGACAAGATACTCAAGCATTCTAAGCTCCAATTTCTCTCATTTTGTAAAATAATAATAATAATATATACCGTACAGGATTGTTGTTAGAATCAAATGAAATAGTAAGTGTAAAATTGCCTCAGTCATGCCTGCATTTTTGTAAGGTCTTGCTGAAGGAATTATTCCTTGCAAAGCGCTTTCGTGTCTATCTTCCCATGTGACCTTCACAGCAAGGTAGTGCAGAGATCTCCATTTTACAGATATGGAATCTGAGGTTCACAGAGGCAAAGTGGCACCCTCAGGTTCACATAAGGAGTGAATAAATATGGGGTTTAAATCCAGATTTTCTGATTCATGGTTCTGTTCTTCTAGAGCCCTAGCTGTGAGCATGTAGATGGATATGTGAGTTTCATGGTTTGTTTGTGGAAACCTTTAAAGACAGGTAATTTGGGGGAAAGAATTTGGAATGTATGACCAGCAAGATGTCTTTTAATCCTATAATTGTAGTGAAGAGGAGGAGAATAAGGACTGTCTGATGTACCCCCAGGTTAGAGGGAAAGAAGAGCAAACAGAGGTATGGAGTAGTGGACAGAGAAGAGGAGACTCAGTGCCTTTTAGGCCCCATAGAATAAAGAACGGTGTGGGACTGATGGACAGAATTCACCATTTCAAAGAGGTCAGAGAGAATGAGGACTCAGAATAGGCCATTGGATGCAGCTACAGAGATGTCCCCAGTATTCAAAGACACCACAGTGTTCCCCAATCTATTTACCTATACTTATCCGATCATCAAATTAACAAATATTTTAAAGCATTTCTTTCATTCACAAAAGTTGACATAAATAGAATAACATTAATGGTATCTTTCATTAAATATACTGTATTATGCTTCTCACTAATTACCATTAATCCTCTAAATGGTAATGTTCCCAGAAATGGAAGAACATAATAATAATTTCTAAAATCACCCCATAAAGCTGAAGGCAATTGATGATTTTTAGAACATTTTTCTATTGATCACTAGAAAAATGAATAGCTTTTCTAATACATGTAAGTGCACAATTAAAACACCAAAAAAAAAAAAATAATCCTGCAATACAAGTAATGTAAAGCTATTTCCTAATATATGGGAACAGGAAGCGTATAATATAGTGAGTGGTTCAGACTTTTTAAAAAATTTTTGCAAGTTTCAGGAGTTAAATAAGCTCTGTGCCTGATGGGTTTGCTCAGCTCTGAAGTCACATGTAAATGCTGAGCACATTATTTGAAATTAACTTTGGAGGTCAATCAACACAGACAACAGAACATGAAAAAACTTTTTATGGTGCTTTGCATGGTCTCCTCTCTATCTCCTCTCAGTATAATAATGACAATGTGTTATACAATGGAAAAAATATGAAAAATACAATGTGATTCTATTTTCTTTGGCAATTTTTTTTGAAAAAAGAATATATATATTTTGGAGACAAAGTCTGTTGCCGAGGCTGGAGTGCAGTGCACAATCATGGCTCACTGCAGCCTCAACCTCCCGGGCTCAAATGATCCTCCCACCTTAACCTCTCAAGTAGCTGGGACTGCAGGTGTGTGCCACCACACCAGGCTAATTTTTAAAAATTTTTGATAGAGATGAGGTCTCACTATATTGCCCAGGCTTATCTTAAAATATATTTTAATATAAAAATATGTAAAATATAAATATGATAACTACATTTTATGAAAATGTATTACTGCCATGTTAACATCATCAAAACTTATGATCTTGGCCTTTTTTTGTCTCTCAAAAGAGAAGCACTGGCTCCTTTGGCAAAGGCTGACTCCAGGAAAGTCACAAACAGCATGATCCTTGTGATCAAATCCAGCCACCAGAGGTAAGGTGTAGGTAAGTAAATTGGGTAACATTGTGGTATCTTTGAATACTGGGGACTTCTCTGTAGCCACATCCAACGGCCTTCATCATTTTCCTCATTAAAGTTTGAGCAGCCATCACTGCTTGAACAGATGCATGGCCAAATTGGGCTGCTTGGCTTTAATCCCTACTTTACCAGCACAATTCCCTTTGCATGGGAAGTGCCTCCAAAGGGGCTGGCCTTAAGGGCTGTGCCCAGATGGGTCTCCTTGTATGTTTATCATGATATTTCTCATCCCATTAGTAGCTATAGCACTCAATACTGGCGGTTCAAAGACCCTGATGCTTGCCCATCCTGCAGGCCTGAGCAAAGGAACAAGACAGGAGAGGCTCTTTTGCTAATTTTTGTATCGCTATTATAAAAACACAAAAAGATTTTCAAAAGGAAGAAAGAGAAGAAACACAAAAGAAGGTTTAGTGTCTAAATGTCACGGAAATACCAGGGGTTCAGTCTAGGTTTTGCTGCTTGCTGCACAGAAAGCCAATCACTGAGACAATGAGTATTGCCAAGGAGCAAGGCTTTAATCAGGTGCTTCAGCTGAAGAAATGAGAGATCAGTCTCAAATCCATCTCCCTGGCCAACTAAAATCAAGGGTTTATATAGCACAGAAGAAATGAAACTTCACCCACAAAAACAAGAATTAGGGAGGGGTAAGGAAGAGTTCATCCATAGGAAGTAAGTGGTCACTTATGCAATCATGATAGATGAGGGGTCTGGTGTCTCATTGTCCAGATGTGGTGATCTGGTAAGTTTCACTTCCTGGATAGCATGTGGGAGATCCTGATGGTTGGTTTCCTGAGAAAGGAGCTCACATAAGAGAAATGTAACTTTCTTAAGTTTCAAGACTGGGAGGGTCAATTTCTAGGTTTATTCAAAAGAAACTATTAAACATCAGTTCTATGGAACAATTAGATGGGTTTCATAAACGCGATCTTAGTGAGTGTGCCACTTATCAGTGTATTACTGCTCAGCTCAAAAGCTACTCTACTATTTGCTCTGTGTTAACCAGCTGGACCCTGTAAGCGGTTCTCCTTTGCAGCAAGCACTTTGTTAGGTTTTGTCAATAGAGGGTGCAAGAAGGACACTGCAAGAAGAAGGGACTTCTGGCTCTGATTCTTCCATTCATGTGACCCCCAGGCAGGAGAAGCACTGGACAATATAACAGCCTCTCTGTGGTGGAGGTATGAGGTGCCTGCAGGCCCAGATCCCCTTTGCCATCAGGTGCTCCCGTCACCCTTGCCTCCCAGCTGCTGTGACTCTGGGCTGATGGACTCCACAGCTGCCCTGTTGCTGGAGAACTGCCCTCAGCCACACAGGAGCTGCCTTGGACCTGACCTCCCCAGGAGGCTCTGCCACATTCTCATCCATCTGCCCCTGGTCTGATGACTGACTCACAGGGAAGGAAAAAAACCCAGCCCGCTCTCCTCAAAGAAACTGACTCAGTGTGGCCATTTGTGCTCCAGAGCACCTTCATGGGGTTAGACTGAAGACAGGCTGCAGCTGAGACCACTTCCTCACTTAGCTTTATCCTCCATGCCATCCTGCATTCCTCACTCTGCTTCTCCTGAGAGCATCCACTAGTGAAGCACTGAAACAAGAACTTACATCTCAGGCTCTGGTTCTTGGGAACCCAATTACATTTAGAGCTCTAACTCAGAGCATGGCAGAACTGAGCAGAAAGAAGGGAGACCTTCAGGGCAGCAGCAAAGAGGACAATGGGATAAGACAGAACTAGAGCAAAGAGGACATGGGATAAGACAGAACTAGGACATGAGCCTTATTCCTGTATCCCAAACTCAGCAATCACAGTTTACTTCTCCCCTGCTGGGGAAGAGTGGGTGCAGGGCGAGAGAGAGGCAGGGGTATTATGATTGTGGAGCTCACCTCAGCTGCACGAAAGAGAACACCAGGAAGGGGGACAAGGCATCACAGTGTCTAACAATGTGACACTGTTGTATTCATTTCCTAGGGCTGCTGTAATGAAGTGTCACCAACTGGATGGCTTAAAACAATAGAAATATATTCTCTCACAGTTCTGGAGGCTAGAATTCCAAAATCAAAGTGTCAGTGGAGACATCCTTGACTCTCAGACACATCACTCCAGTCTCTGCCTCTGTGATCACGTGATATTCTCCCGCTGTGTCTTCACATCATCTTGTCAACCTAAAAATCATCCAAAGGGTCAGAGTCTAGTTTAAAGAGTTTGCGCAGGCCGGGCACAGTGGTTCATACCTGTAATCCCAGCACTTTGGGAGGCTGTAGCGGGAGGATCACCTGAGCTCAGGAGTTTGAGACCAGCCTGAGCAACATGGTGAAACCCTGTCTCCACCAAAAATACAAAAATTAGCTAAGCATGGTGGTACACACCTGTAGTCCCAGCTACTTGGGAGGCTGAGGTGGGAAGATCATCTGAGCCCAGGGAATTCCAGGCTGCAGTGAGCCATGATCATGCCACTGTACTCCAGCCTGGGTGACAGGAGAAGACCCTGTCTCAAAAATCAGAAAACAAACAAACAAAAAAGAGTTTGTTCAAATGCAAAGTTTGAGGACAGCTACTGAGAAAACACAGATTCCAAAGAATGAAAGTCAGTGTTCTGAAGTGTAGAAGTTTAGGATCATTTATTTAGACAAAACATAGAGAAGCATAACAGAATTTCAGTATCTTTCTACATGAGGCTTAGTGCATAGTTACAATGATTGGATTAGTTGAGGTAGTCTTTTTTCTCAGGAAAGGTATATTTAACATTCCACACTGAAGAGGTAACAGTCACGGGGTCTTCTGCATCATTTGGTCTGTTTTAGATATGGGACAATGAAGGAAGAAGTTAATCTATAACAAAAACCACTGATTGGAAGGGGAGGGGCCTGGTTTCTGGTCTTTTCTAGTCATTAATGGAACATTTATGGAAAAGAGTTAATCTATAATCTAAGAAACAGAAGTTGTAAACATGTTCTGTGTCTCAGTCTCCAGGGCTTAACTTTCCCCTGGGCATAATAAATTTAGAGGATCCTGAAATTTTATTTTCTTTTACAGTTTTTTCTGTTTCTTTTCTTTTCTTTTCTTTTTTTTTTTGAGCTAGAGTCTCACTCTGTCACCCAGGCTGGAGTGCCATGACGCGATCTCGGCTCACTGCAACCACTGCCTCCCAGGTCAAGCGATTCTCCTGCCTCAGTCTCCTGAGTAGCTGAGATTACAGGCATGCACCACTATGCCCAGCTAATTTTTTTGTATTTTTAGTAGAGACAGGGTTTCACCACGTTGGCCTGGCTGGTCTCGAACCCCTGACCTCAAGTCATCCTTCTGCCTCGGCCTCCCAAAGTGCTGGGATTACAGGTGTGAGCCACTGTACCTGGCCACTTTTTCTTCTGCTAATCTGTCTTTTGTTGGTTTAATTCACAGGCCTCAACTACAGAACATAAGAGGGAAGAGGAAAAAGCTTTTTCCTCCCCTACAAAGTCTTTGGAAAAGAGCCTATTTTTTTCATTCGTGGCTGTGACTTGACTATGTACAAATACAAACGTCTTGGAGTATTTTCTTAACAAGGATGGATGATTCTACCAAGAATGGTATGATCATTATTACTCTCATCAGCTTCCAGCAACTTCTGTACTATGTCTGAACCACAGGTGTCCACAGTGACCCTGTCTCCTTTACACAGGACTAACAACAGCACATTTAAGTGCATTAATATTACAAGAAAAACCTGGAATTGTATAGAAAAATGTTCCCACAAAGTGGGAGGGAGCCAAGAAACCAAAGAATTATTCAGAGAAGTCCAGCTTTGGCAAGTAGATGTGTTTATTAAGATTTACCTACAGGGCACTCCTGGACAGCAGCAGGACTGCTCTAGAGATCTGTGCCACCTCCCATCTCTGAACTATCTTTAAGCTGATTTTCTGGCTCTTTGTCTACCGTGTTTGAGTGATGAGACTGTTTTTCTTGGTAGGTTCTCAGATACTCCTCAGGATGCTTAGGTTCTCAGGGATACCTGTTGCCTCAGCTGCACAGCATGGCCTTGGCTCACTACCTGGCCTTCGAGGTTCCAGCAGCAGGCATGCACCCTTCAGTAACCTGGTGCAGGACCCATCACACTACAATTAAAATGTGTATGTGGGAAGAATGCAACCCAAAGGGTTAGCATGAGTTATTTCCTGATGAGGAAATGTTTTAATGAACCTTTTTTTGGCTTTTCTTTATTTTCTACATTTTCAGCAGTGAATATTAGTTTTATGATACGAAAGCTCTTTCCTCTTAATAAATATTAATTTAAAAACAAAAAAATTAAAAGTTACAAGACAGGCAATATCCTCTAGATCACTCTTTTGCTAGTATTTTTGTCTTTTTTTAACCTTCAGTCCAGATTTGACATTGCTGTTGAAGCACTTACAAGTGTTCAGCATTCCTTGCTCTTTGGATGGCTATGTAGGTAGCAGAAGGGAAGGTCTTTCTTTGGGATTTTGCAGTCTCTGCAGGGGTTCAACATTTGCCTCCCAACCTGAATCAGAGCTTATTTTATTTTAGTTTTTTGCAATTGCACAGCTAATCACTACTTCTTATGTAAGCTCAGCTATGGGAATTATTTTTATTAAGCATAGCTCCTATTCATGAAGGATAGAATAATTTTTTAAAAAAGAAATTAGTACAATGGTGTAGGGAAGAAAGAGTAATATTTTTTCCTTGCTTGTTGCAAGGTTCATGACTTACGCCCCATAACAAAAACAAATTAACAAGGGAAAAGTGTAACAAATTTATTTAACCAAAGTTTTATGTGACATGGCAGCCTTCAGAAATGAAGAACCCAAAAATGGAGGAAACTGTGCACTTTTCTGTTTAGGTTTGATGAAGAGTAGATACTTGTGGAGAAACATGATTGGATAAGGGGGTATGATCTAACAGTAATAAACTGGGGGACTTAACAAGGGCTGTGTGTTCAGATTTATCTTGGTGTCTCTGTGTGTTCATTCCCTTTCTCTGGCTGTCACACGAAGGTCTTATGACTGAGAAACAAAAAAGAAATCCTAAGTCCCCCAACTGACTGAAGGGACCCTCTCTTGGCCAAGAGGACCCCAGAGAAACTTTGAACACTGAGTTCCTGGACATGACAGGACAGAAAGTCAGACACGCCTTGTATTAGTTCGTTTTCATGCTGCTAATAAAGACGTGCCCAAAACTGGGAACAAAAAGAAGTTTAATTGGACTTACAGTTCCACATGGCTGGGGAGGCCTCAGAATCATGGTGGCAGGTGAAAGGAACTTCTTACTTGGCAGTGGCAAGATAAAAATGAGGAAGAAGCTAAAGCAGAAACCCCTGATAAACCCATCGGATCTTGTGAGACTTATTCACTATCACAAGAATAGCATGGGAAAGACTGGCCCCCATGATTCAATTACCTCCCCATGGGTCCCTCCCACAATATGCGGGAATTCTGGGAGATAAAATTCAAGTTGAGATTTGGGTGGGGACACAGCCAAACTATATCAAACCACCACTGGCCCCTCCAAATCTCATGTCCTCACATTTCAAAACCAATCATGCCTTCCCAACAGTCCCCCAAAGTCTTAACTCATTTCAGCATTAACCCAAAAGTCAACAGTCCAAAGTCTCACCTGAGACAAGGCGAGTCCCTTCCACCTATAAGCCTGTAAAGTCAAAAGCAAGCTAGTTATTTCCTAGATACAATGGGGGTACAGGTATCGGGTAAATACAGCTGTTCAAAATGGGAGAAATTTACCAAAACAAAGGGGTTACAGGGCCCATGCAAATCTGAAATCCAGCATGGAAGTCACATTTTAAAGCTCCAAAATGATCTCCTTTGATTCCAGGTCTCACATCCAGGTCATGCTGATGCAAGAGGTGGGTTCCCATGGTCTTGGGAAGCTCCACCCTTGTGGCTTTGCAGGGTACAGCCTCCCTTCTGGCTGCTTTCACAGGCTGGCATTGAGTGTCTGCAGCTTTTCCAGGTGCATTGTGCAAGCTGTTGGTGGATCTACCATTCTGGGGTCTGGAGGATGGTGGCCTTCTTCTAACAGCTCCACTAGGCAGTGCCTCAGGAGGGACTCCGCATGGGGGCTCTGACCCCACATTTCCTTTCTGCACTGCCCTACCAGAGGTTCTCCATGAGGGCCCCATCCTTGCAGCAAACTTTTGACTGCACATCCTGGCATTTCCATACGTCTTCTGAAATCTAGGCGGAGTTTCCCAAACCTCAATTCATGACTTCTGTGCACCTGCAGGCTCAACACCAAGTGGAAGCTGCCAAGAAATGGGGCTTCTGTCCTCTGAAGCCACAGCCTGAGCTCTACGTTGGCTCCTTTCAGCCACAGCTAAAATGGCTGGGACACAGGGCACCAAGTCCATAGGCTGCACACAGCACAGGGACCCTGGGCCTGGCCCACGAAACCATTCTTTTTCCTCCTGGCCTCCAGGCCTGTGATGGGAGGGGCTGCGTGAAGGTCTCTGACATGGCCTGGAGACATTTTCCCCAAGGTCTTGGGGATTAACATTAGGCTCCCTACTACTTATGCAATTTTCTCCCAGTTTGAATTTCTCCCCAGAAAAAGGGTTTTTCTTTTCTATTGCATGTTCAGCCTGCAAATTTTCCCAACTTTTATGCTCTGCTTCCCTTATAAAACTGAATGCCTTTAACAGTATCCAAGTCACCTCTTGAATGCTTTGCTGCTTAGAAATGTCTTCCACCAGATACCCTAAATCATCTTTCTCAAGTTCAAAGTTCCACACATCTCTAGGGCAGGGGCAAAATGCTGCCAGTCTCTTTGCTAAAACATAACAGGAATCACCTTTGCTCCAATTCCCAACAAGTTCCTCATCTCCATCTGAGACCACCTCAGCCTCGACCTTACTGTCCATATTGCTATGAGCATTTTGGGCAAAGCCATTCAATAAGTTTCTAGGAAGTTCCAAACTCCCACATTTTCCTGTCTTCTTCTGAGCCCTCCAAACTGTTCCAACATCCGCCTGTTACCCAGTTCCAAAGTTGCTTCCACATTTTCAGGTATCTTTTCAGCGATGTCCCACTCACTTTACTAGTACCAATTTACTGTATTAGTTTGTTTTCATGCTGCAGATTAAGACATACCCGAAACTGGGAACAAAAAGAGGTTTAATTGGACTTACAGTTCCACATGGCTGGGGAGACCTCAGAATCATGGTAGCAGGTGAAAGTTACTTCTTACATGGCGGTGGCAAGAGAAAAATGAGGAAGAAGCTAAAGTGGGGCTGGGCGCAGTGGCTCACACTTGTAATTCCAGCACTTTGGGAGGCCGAGGTGGGCAGATCATGAGGGCAGGAGTTTGGGAACAGCCTGGCCAACACAGTGAAACCCCGTCCCTACTAAAAATACAAAAATTAGCTGGGCGTGGTGGTGGGCGCCTGTAATCCCAGCTACTCAGAAGGCTGAGGCAGGAGAATCACTTGAACCCAGAAGGCGGAGGTTGCAGTGAGCTAAGATTGTGCCACTGCACTCCAGCCTGGGTGACAGAGCTAGACTCCATCTCAAAAAAAAAAAAAAAAAAAAAAAAAGAAGCTAAAGCGGAACCTCTGATAAACCCATCAGATATTGTGAGACTTATTCACTATCACAAGAATAGCATAGCATGGGAAAGACTGGCCCCCATGATTCGATTACCTCCCCCTGGGTCCCTCCCACAACACCTGGGAATTCTGGGAGATACAATTCAAGTTGAGATTTGGTGAGGAGGCACAGCGAAACCATATCACGCCTCATTATACCCCCTCCCTCACTAACCACCATTAGACTTTTTTCCCTAAGGATTAAACAGAAACCAGCCCTTTGGAAAGACTGATTTCACCCTTCATTTAACCAACACCCTGACACTGCCCCTCCCTTTTGCAGCTTCCACAAAACAACCAACCAGCATTCCTTCATGATAAGAGATCACCAACCATGGGCTGGTTCTTTTTTGTTGTTGTTTTTCACTCAGATCAAGTTTCCATGTATTCAAAAAATAAATAAGTTTAAAAAGTTGTTTCACTAACTTCAGTTTCAGAACTGACTGACATCAGGCATTTCTTATTGTCAAAGTCCACCCTTCAGAGAAGATAAGAAATTTCTGAAGTCTATCTTTGGATTCTTTTGGGATTCATTCTGACTAAGGAACATTTTTTTACAAGAAAAACCTGGAATTATGTAGAAAAACATTTCCCCAAACTGGGAGGGAGCCAAGAGGGAGCCAACATTTCATTGAGGGAAATGTTTCTTTGTTTTGCTCACATTCTTTGGGGAGCAAGAAAATACTGACTCTCCAGATGTAGGTGTTCTGGAAATCAATACTGGGCTTTTGCCTTTGGAACCAGACATCTCATGATTTGGGTTTGCAGTCCTTCTCTTTGGTGTCTTCAGGCTGAGTTTACTTGAGGAGTAGTAGGATTGCTCTTCAATGCTGATAGAAAGCTTCTACTCTTACCATGATGTTTCACTGTTCTGCGGCATGTTTTACAAGTAATCAACAATACACTTTTGTCGTCTTTGAATTTTTTCACAATTTTTGCTTCTTTAAAACTGAGTGTATAATTTCATGCTTCTTGATTAATCAGTTTCTGTATTTTGGGTGTCAATGTGGCTTTGGGTTTGAGACACACTCAAGAGTTATCCAGAATCAGCAACTGCAAACAGTGTGGACACATTTCTTCAAAAGTACTCTTATCATAGGAGATAGCAGGCTTGGCCTTGGCAGCTGTTGTGCAGTCCCTGCTCTGAAGCTTCAAGGTAGTGCTTCTGTATCATGGCTGTCACTGCCACTTCCTTGTCACAGGGACCTGGTGAGAAAACATGGCACCAGAAGTTGGCTTCCACCATGGGATGGTTCTTGCCAGCCTAAGGAGGATGTGCAGTGAGGGTTTTCATGTCCTCGGCTTCATATTTTGTTTTTTGTTTGTTTGTTTGTTTGTTTTTTGTTGTTGTTTCGAGACAGTCTCACTCACTCTGTTTCCTGGGCTAGAGTGTAGTGGCATGATCACAGCAGTCTCCCCAGCTAATTTTTGTATTTTTTGTAGAAATGGGGTTTTGCCATGTTGCCCGGGCTGGTCTTAAATTCCTAGGCTTAAGTGATCTGCCCATCTTGGCCTCCCAAAGTGCTGGGACTACAGGTTTGAGCCAATATGCCTGGCCTGTTTCACCTTTTGACATCAGAGGCCCAAAAACTTAACCCTGGGATCATGCTAAGGCCACCATTTTTGAACATGGGTCTCATGGAGAGGTGTAAGGTAAATGAACGTGCTTTGGTCAAGAATAGGCCGAGGCAGACATGCAGGCCAGCATGACTCAGCAAGTTTGGAGTGCAGGCGCACAACTCCACTTGTTGTATAACGCGTGTGTGTAAGCTCATACTTGGCTTAAAGCCACTATGTTTTTAAAAGCTATAGCTGCCCTGCAGACACTGTACATGGGACACACACTCAGAGGGAGAGAGTGAAGCTCCTGACCTTGTAGGGAGAGCCAACTATCTTGCAGATGGATGAGGGGAGCCAGAAACCAGCAAGTGTGTCAAGGAATGCAGCTGTAAGTGTGGGAGTGACAAAAGCTGCAGAGCTGGCTGCACAGAAGGGGTGCAGCTAGAGCAGACAGCTGAGACAAAGGAACAGTGTACGAGAGCTGCTGAATAAAACCATATTTCACCTGCCTATGGCCCCCTGAGTGTTCTTTCAGCTATTTGCCACCCATCCACCCACTCCCCTTGGACCTCAGCATAGGCTGGAACCTGACACTTGGTGTGACAAGAGGCATGGAGGTCAATTGCACATGTGTTTCTCATTTTATAAATATTCATGACTCCTCCTATAGCTTATTGAATATGTATATTTGGCCACCCACTTCAGTATAAATTCCTGTCTTATTCTTCTCACCCTTGAAGTGCTTGTCTCTGGCTTCCGATGGGAGATTATGCTTCCCAGCCTGTCAAAATGGCCACTTGCAGGCTGCAACCCTTTATGAAAAATAAAGCTCTCCTTTCCATACTTATGAACCTCATCATTCTTCAGTTGCCACTTTTTTTGAAACAAAGGTGATTTTAAGATCACATACAATTTATTTGAAAATAATACTAATATCTATTATAATTTGGTCTATTATATATAATTATATATAATTTGGTCTGTTATAATTTGGTTTTTAACCAAATTCTAATAGATATAGTAGCTTTCTGAGCTACTATATAATAGCTTTCTAAGAACATTTATATATGTTCATTAATACATACATACATTTTATGTCATATATAATAGCTCTCTAAGAACATTTATATAATATAATAGCTTTCTAAAAACATTTAAACAACAGAGGACTTGATCTTAAACCAATCAAGATGAAATAAGAAAATAAGAATAACTTTGTGTTTCATTTCCTCATCTGTTAAATGAAAAGAAAAAGAAAAAGAAAAAAAATAATAATTTGGTCAAATAGCCTATCACGAAACCATGAAGAAATTTGTGTGTCCATATCTCTGACAGATCTTGCACTTTAACCATTGTAAGTAAAATGGCATTTGTTTGGGCAATATAAGTAAAAAAAAAAAAAAAAAAAAAAAACCCGAAACAAAACAAAAAACTCCCATTTCAGAAAACTTCTTTACAAAGAGGAGAAAGAAAACAGTGTTATGATTAAATAAGCATTAAATCAGAATGTGATGTGCAGCTCAGACAATCTGCTAAAGAGATTGCAAAATCAGAAAGAAATCCACTGACATATAGCTAGCTGGACATAACCCATCACATTAGGCAGGTGATTTGTGAATTTGAGTCAGGTGATAGCCAAAGTTAGCCCACCTCCTCCCAGGAGACTGGGAAGATAGGGTATTATCTTCCTTGATGGTTACATTTCAAAGAAATGACTCCCAGGTCCTTGAGAAAACATTTTTGAATCATGAGCCTGGAAAGAGGCTTATTTAGCTATTTAAAAGACTTACATACATTTGAAAAGGGCTAAGAAATTCTTAGAAAAAAGAGGGGGCGAAGTAGAGAGGTGGGTCTCTTTCCTTATTTTCAACAGGAAGAATTAAGTTTCTTATTCACCCTTACACACACTCTGGGGTTAGTTAATAAACTGAATTCATGTTAGATAATGAGGGATAAAAGGTAATTCAGCAAATATCAAGGATACAGTTTTCCTTTTTGGCAAAGCAGCAGAAACATACTTACTTTCCTAATTGCCTAGGCCAGGGTTTTTCAACCTTGGCACTGTAAAGGAGAAAAAATATCTTTCCTTCCCCTCATTTTAGGTTCATTGGCTGGGGGTCCCTGTAACAAAAGACAGATTAACAAGAGAAAAGCATCCAAATTTATTTAATATAAGTTTTACATGACAGAGGAGCCTTCACAAGGAAATGAAGACCCAAAGAAATGGAGTAAACCTGAGCATTGTTTTTGCTAGGTTTGATGAAGAGTGGACAGTCTTGGAGAAATATAATAGGGCAAAGAGTATGATCTAATGGTAGTAAACTAGGGGAAACAGCAAGTCTTCCTTATTAATTCTTCTCTGTGTCTCTGTGTCTTTGAAAATAAGGATGTTTCATTTCCCTTGGTGTATGGAGGACACCTCTCATATGAGGTCTTATGATCTGCTTCAGGGGAAGTTCAGAAAATCCTTTCCAGGTTTTTTCCTTTTCCTTCTCCTTTCCTTCCCATTTTCCTCTCCTCTCCTCTCCTCCCTTCCCTTGCCCTCCACTCCCCTCTCCTCTCTTCTCTTCTCCTTTCTTCCTTCTTCTTACAGGGTCTAGCTATATTGCCCAGGCTGAATTCAAATTCCTGGGCTCAAGTGATTCACCCACCTCAGCCTCCCAAAGTGCAAAGATTACAGTCATGAGCCACCATGCCTGGCCTGTTTTTTGCTATAGGGGTGTCTGCTGTGAACCTTGTGACAAGTGAGGAGAAGATACTACTTTTTCTCCCCTACATCATTCTAATTTCAGTGATTGGCTTTGCTGTGCCAGGCAACCCCGGTTCAGTTCTGTAACACCCCCAGATGATGTCTGATTACCCTGGCCTGCCTTCAGCAAGAATCCTGTTAGGCTGGTTTAGCCAGAACCCGCCTTACCCTGCATGTTTCCTTTTAATAATTTTCCATCCACTGACCCATTTCCTGCTCCTTGGCTCTAAATTCCCACTTGCCCACGGTATATTTGGAGTTGAGCCCAATCTTTCTCCCCTACTGAAAAATCCCATCACAGTGGTCCCTATACGTATCTGAATGGTCCTGAATAAAGTCTGCCTTATGAAGGGGTTAAGAACCTGCCACCCCACAATATGTTCCGGCATATTGAGTATTTTGAGTTAGAGGCACTCAAAAAACGGCAGATGCGAGAAGATAACTCTGACCTTCCTTCTGTTTCCTAAAAGCAGGAGATGAAATTCCTACATGAGGGATATTCTGCCTATTCCAGAAGGAAAGTATCATTCTTATCATCAAGGATGGGAAGTTGAGGCTGAGGGGAATCTGAACAAACCATAGACTAATCCTTATCTTCCTAGCCACTGCACTACCCAATACCCTTTGCTGCATCACATTTTCACAATTTACTACTCTTTAATTCTTTATACAAGTGTTCATCTCTAGCAGCATCTTTGGGTCTTCATTTCCTTATGAAGTCCCCTGTGCCATGTGAAATCGTACTAAATTTTCTGTATGTTTTTTCCTGTTGATCCCTCTTATGTCAATTTAGTTCTCAGCTTGGGGGGTGAAAAAAACAAATCCTGAGGGCATTTTGCCTCTCTTTATGTATGGGAGGAAAAATAATGCCCTCCTCCAACCTTCATGAGCTTTATAACAAAAGACAGATTAACAAGAGAGGAACAAATGGAAGTTTAATAACATGTGTACCCCCTGTAACATGGGAGATAACCCAGAGAAATGAGTAAATCTCTAGAGTAGATCTCAAAGAAAGATTTTAAAACCTCAGGCTTGAATAGCATTATTCTCTGAAACAAAGAAATAAGGATGGAGAGAATGGCCAGCTAAGATAAGATGGCCAGAAAAAGCATCTTAAACAAAGGCACATTTGTTGTACAGATTTAAGTTGGTGCCTTCCTTCTTTATTGATTAAGCATCTCTAAAGATTTAGTCTTCCTTCTCCTCCTGGTGCAGAGAGGGAGACACACTTAAAAATGGAGACTGCCTTTATAGCTGCAAATTTCTCTTACACAAAAGGGTAACTTTCCAGAACTTCTCCTGTGTCTGCAGTTTCTCAAAATAACCAGCTCAAAATAAACCTTATGCCAAAGAGGCCTATTTTGGGGTGGCATATTCTGGACTCTGGCAGTCGTATTTTGGAGTGGTATGTCCTGAGCCCTGTCACTTACTGTGTTTAATAAGGATCATCAAATAATTTTTTCTCTAGCAGAACTTAGTGTGCCACTGGCATGCAGCACTCACAGGTTCCCCATGTTACTGGAAAGGGGTCCCAGTCTAGACCCTAAGAGAGGGTTCTTGGACCTCATGCAAGAAAGAATTCAGGACAAGTCCATATGGTAAAGTGAAAGCAAGTTTTTAAGAAAGTGAAAGAATAAAAGAATGGCTACTCCATAGGCAGAGCAGTGGCATGGGCTGCTCAACTGAGTATACTTACAGGTATTTCTTGATTTTATGCTAAACAGGGGTGGATTATTCATGAGTTTTCTGGGAAAGAGGTGGGCAATTCCTGGAACTGAGGGTTCCTCACCTTTTTAGGCCATATGGGGTAACTTCCTGATGTTGCCATGGCATTTGTAAACTGTCATGGCACTGGTGGGAGTGTCTTTTAGTGTGGTAATACATTGTAATTAGCATAAAATGAGCAGTAAGGATGACTAGAGGTAACTTTCGTCATCATCTTGGTTTTGGTGGATTTTAGCTCGCTTCTTTACCACAACCTGTTTTATCAGCAAGGTCTCTGTGACCTGTATCTTCTGCCAACCTCCTATCTCATACTGTGATTAAGTATGCTTGACCTACTGGAATGCAGCATAGTATGTCTCAGCCTTATTTTATCCAGCACCTATTCAAGATAAAGTCACTCTGGTTCGAATGCCTCTGACACCCATGCCGTCCTTTTTTCCGAATGGGTCAGTGAGGTGGAGGTGGAAGCACACGCCTTTAACATCCTCTCCTAATCTCCCTCAGCACTATGTTCCTACCTCTCCTCTTCAATTCCTCTTCTTAACACTTTTGATACAGTTATTTATGAGGATGCCTTATCTCTGCCGCTAAGCTGCATGTTTCATTAGGACTGTATCCTATTAGATTCACCTTTGTATCCTCTGCAGCACACAGCAAACCCTCAATAGAAAGTATGGGTGTCATGAAACAACTTCAAACAGGAACCAAACTGTAATCTACCTGGTCTTAAATTGATGCCTTTCTGGTTTCCACAGTAAAATGAGAGAAAGGTTTTCTGCAGTGTTCAGATTCTGGAAGCTAGGCCCTTTTCTTCCCCCTTAGATCTCTGGACTTCATCTTTCCCTTCTCTGTATCATTTCTTGCTCATATTTATGGAAACACACCGTGGCCAAACAGCTCTATTTTTCCTCCCTTTGCTGGCCTACAACTGTTTCTCCAGTTCCCATTGTCCTTAAAGGGTACCAGAATATCTCAGCCCAAAATATGCCTTTTTGGCTTATGAATTATTTTGAGCTAAAGGCAATTAAGAGCCAGCAGATACAGGAAAAGCTCTTTATCTCCTGATGACTGCCTGAAAACAAAGTGTATTAGTCTGTTTTCGCACTGCTGTAAAGAACTACCTGAGACTGGGCAATTTATAAAGAACAGAGGTTTAATTGACTCAGTTCCACATGGCTGGGGAGGACTAAGGAGTCTTCCAATCATGGCGGAAGGCAAAGGGGAAGCAAGGCACATCTTAAATGACAGCAGGAGAGTGGGGTGGAAGTGCCCCACACTTTTTAAACCATCAGATCTCATGAGAACTCACTCACTATCACGAGAAGAGCAAGGGGGAACATCTGCCGCCAAGATCCAATCACCTCCCACCAGGCTCCTCCTCCAATTTGACATGATATTTGGGTGGGAACACAAATCCAAACCATATCATTCTGCCCCTGTCCCCTCCCAAATCTCATGTCCTTTTCACATTGCAAAATACAATTATCTGTTCTCAACAGTCCCCCATTCTTTACTCATTTCAGCATTAACTCAAAAGTCCACGGTCCAAAGTCTTACCTGAGACAAGGTAAGTCCCTTCCATCTATGAGCCTGTAAAATTAAACAGTTACTTCCAAGACACATTGGGGTACAGGGATTGGGTAAATGCTCCCATTCCAAATGGGAGAAATTAGCCAAAACAAATGGGCTACAGGCCCCATGCAAGTCCGAAACCCAGCAGGGAAGTCATTAGATCTTACAGCTCCAGAATAATCTCCTTTGATGCCATGTCTCACATCCAGGTCATACTGATGCAAGAGGTGGGCTCCCAATGCCTTGGGCAGCCCCACCCCTGTGGCTCTGCATGGTATAGCCCACATGGCTGCTTTCACGGCTGAAGTTTAGTGCCTGTGGTTTTTCCAGGCACACAGTGCAAACTGTCAGTAGATCTACCATTCTGGAGTCTGAAGGACAGTAGCCCTCTTCTCACAGCTCCAGTAGGCAGTGCCCTAGTGGGGACTCTGTGTGGGGGCTCCAACACCACATTTTCCCTCTGCACTGCCCTAGAAGAGGTTCTCCATGAGGGCACCCCCCACCTGCAGTAGACGTCTGCCCTGGACATCCAGGCATTTCCATACATCCTCTGAAATCTACGTGGAGATTCCCAAACCTCAATTCCCAAACCTGCGCACCCATAGGCCAATACCACATGGAAGCTGCCAAGGCTTGGGGCTTGCACCCTCTGAAGCCATGGCCAGAGCTGTACTTTGGCCCCTTTTAGCCACAGTTGGAGCTGGAGCAGCTGGGATGCAGGATGCCATGTCCTAAGGCTGCACAGAGGAGCAGGGCCCTGGGCCTGGCCCACTAAACCATTTTTTCCTACTAGGCATCCAGGTCTGTGATGGGAGGGGCTGCCATGGAGGTCCCTGAAATGCCCTGGAGACATTTTCTCCACTGTCCTGGCTATTAAAATTTGGCTCCTCTTTACTTATCAAAATTTCTAGAACAGACTGGAATTTCTCCCCAGAAAATGGCTGGCTACCACATGGCTGGGCTGCAGATTTTCCAAACTTTCACGCTCTGCTTCCAGTTTCAGACAATCTCTTTGTTTGTGCATATGAACATACACTTTTACAAACAGTCAGGTCATATCTTGAATGCTTTGCTGCTTAAAAATTTCTCTTGCCAGATACCCTAAATCATCTTTCTTAAGTTCAAAATTCCATAAATCTCTAAGGCAGGGGCAAAATGCTACCAGACTTTTTGCTAAAGCATAGCAAGAGTGACCTTTACTTCAGTTTTCAATAAGTTCCTCTTCTCTATTTGAGACCACCTCAGCCCGGACTACATTGTCCATAGTCATCATCAGCATTTCTGTCAAAAGCCATTCAACAAGTCTCTAGGAAGCTCCAAACTTTCCCATATCTTCCTGTCTTCTTCTGAGCCCTCCAAACTGTGCCAACCTCTGCCCATTACCCAGTTCTGGCATTGTTTCTACATTTTCAGGTATCTTTATAGCAGTGCATTACTCCTGGTACCAATTTTCTGTGTTAGTCTGTTCTCACACTGCTATAAAGAACTACCTGAGGCTGGATAATTTATAAAGAAAAGAGGTTTAATTGACTCACAGTTCCGCAGGCTTAACAGGAAGCATGACTGGGAGGCCTCAAGAAATGTACCATCATGTTGGAAAGGGAAGCAAGCACCCTCTTCACATGGTGGCAGGGGAAGGAGGGGAGGCTCCACATCACTTTTAAACAATCAGGTCTCCTGAGAACTCACTCACTATCACAAGACCAGCAAGGGGGAAATCTGCCCCCATGATCCAATCACCTCCCACCAGGCCCCTCCTCCAATTCAACATGAGATTTGGGAGGGGACAAAAATCCAAACCATACCACAAAGTAATTTTTTTGTAAAAAAGTTTATATTTTTGAAGGACACTTCCATTTGTAAAGATGTCTCCGTACCAAGGACACAGCTACTCCAGGGAGACAAGTCTTATCCCCTCCACCCCACCCCCACCGCCAGAGAGTATTATCTGCATAACAGGACAAGTCTTCTTTACCTTACATTTCTCCCCTCACCTACCCATAACTTGCTTCCTCTGCTCAGAAGCCCAAAGACCCTTTTATTTGTGTAGCTTAGTCTGTGTAAAAGCATCAAGCATCTGGCTACCTCCTTGAGTCACATTTTCTCTCATTTGTACATATATAAATTAAACTGTGTTTTCTTTCTTGTTCACCTGCCTTTATCAGTTTGATTTGCGGGCCTCAGCCATTGAAGCTAGGAGGATAGAAGGAAAAAGATTTTCTTCTCTATATCCCCCAAACACTAACCAATTTCCTGTTCCTATAAAGAATTTAAGGAAGACTGGCATTGGAAAGTCCCTGATAGTGATGAGGAAGACCAAGCCATGCCTACCTCTTTTATCAGAGAGTGTCCTGTTTGGAAAACAGAGCCCATCTCAGATAATTTTGTTGAGGGAATTTGATATAGGGAACCAAATACAAAAGTCTTGAGAGAATTGAAAAGTCAAACAAAGGACAAGGAGGCAAGCCAGATATTAGCAACAGCAAGAGGCTACTACTACCCACAGGACTAGAAAGAACAAAAGAAAAGGTGGTATTGGGAAGCCAGGAGCCAGAACCACCACCATTGGTGGGAGTTAACCACTTTGGAGCCTGCCCAAGGAGCTGAGGCTGCAGAGAGGCTGCCTCAAAAAAGCTGGGACCTTAGAGGAGACGCAGCTGGAGATGCTGCCAGATCTCCCGCCAGTGCCTCCCACTGGCCTATTGAGAAGGAAAAACTTTTCCTTTACTATCTTACATTCGGTAGCTCAGGGCCTGTCAATTTAACAGACAAAAGACAGAGTCACAGGAGAAAAGACAGTTTGTGTGTGCAATGCACACATGAGTGCTCAGTGAGGAGTCACTGGGTGTGGTGTGGTGGTTGGAATTTGGGGCTTACATTCCTAACTTCATAGGTGAAAGGGAGAAAGGAGAAAAGTCTCCTCATGAAAGAACAAATAGATTTCTTTAGGAAAGACAAATAGGTTTTTAGGGGAAAAAAAACAGGAGAAAAGAAAGTTTTTAATAATGTTCGTTTGTAAGTAGTCTTTCTGTCTTCTTTCTGGCCATGAAACCACACTGAAGAGGGGATTTATGGTAGGTTAACTCTTGGTCTCTCTCATGGGAGAAAATCTGCTTCAAAGAGGAAATTTATGGCACCCTCATTTAGAAGTTTCTGCTTTTTGTCAGAGAAACGAAGCTCTGAGAGGGCTCCTTTCTGTATCTGTTGAATCTCAAATGTCTTCAGCTTAAAATAATCTTTATATTTTCCACCTAAATGACAGAGAGAGGCTCTCTAAAAGAAAAGATGTTTATTTGGGAATGGAACATTGCAATAGGAATGCACATACCGTAGTAAACTATGTGCATATTTAGGGAGGTGAAGGAACACAAAGGTTTTCAAAGGAAAAAATGAGGATTATGTAATTGTTTTGAAATAATTATCCTTGGCTATGAAGATCAATAATAATGGTGGCACCAGTCCAAGGTTGGACTGGCAGTTGCTGGGCAGAAGTCCTTGCAGAAGTATTTTATGTACAAAGTTGTGTTTTGTTGTAGAGTCTTTTTCATGATCAGGCATACAAGCATGAAACCCTCTCTTCATGGCCTTCCCTGGCTCTATTGTCAGGGTTTTCTTAACATCAGTGACTCCATTTTGACTCTGACATCTTTCACAATACCAGCTCTGGAGCTCCAAGTGGGTTCCCACAGAATAAACCTAACTGAGCACCAGGTCAACAAGGAAGACTGGGAAATGGAAATGTCCAGGCTCTGGCCCCTACAATTCTGAGAAGAAAAGAGCAGGGGATGGTTCTGAGAACAAATAAACAGCCATCCCATTTCTTTTTCTGTGGTCACCAGTGATGTAGCTCCACAGTTGCCCCTTTTGGAGTACTCCACCATGCAGGAAACACTGCCTACCCCCAGACAGCAAGCCCAGCAGTTCACTTCCGGGTTTCCTTGAATTGCCACTTTGATGGTACTGCCTGAAAAGCAAGAAGAGCTTTTAATCTGAGAGAACTCCACCGCCCTCCATAGTCGCATACATGTAACTACTAACTTACATTGGTTTGTAAGTAACACCAAACTGAGGTGCTTAAATAAAACACCCCAATAACACTCTGAAGCTTCTTAATTCACAGTATAGATGTGGCGAGTGTTCCCAGGGATAAGGAGTGGAACTCATTTCCTTCCAAGCCACTTGAATTACCTGTGGAACAATTTATCTGCAATTCTAGCAGAGACCAGCCAGGACATCTGTTACCAAGGGTGGGATTCAAGCTTCTCATTCAACAGATCATTGACATTCACTAAGGAAAAGCGAAATATTGAGTGGGTTTCTCTGATCTTAGTCTGCTTAGTGGTCTGTATCAGACACAGGAACTCAATTGATCATTATTTATGGATGAAACCACTCGCCATTATGAATCAGTAACATGCCAATTACGCATTTGGAATAAATAATGGGAAAGACTTTTTCTCATTGCTGAATTGATAATAAAGAAGTTTTGACAGTGTCTGCTCATTTTTCAGGAAAAGACAACAAAAAAGGACACATGAAACTTGTAGGGAAGCCAGCCTCCACCTGCCGTTCACTCTGCCCACAGTAACAAAAGTGCGGATGCAGCCACTGTTAGCGTGTTCTGCCCACGGCACTATTTAGTGATGCATCAGACCTTTCTCACATTTTTCTGTGTGGACTCATGTCCTGCTTTTGTGCTTCTCTCAAGGACTTTCGGCTTCTCCTGAAAGAACACGTGTTCATCCAGCCCAACATCTTGGCAAAGGTAAGTCTTTTTGGCAGCAGGGCCATTAATGATAGTAGGTGCTGGCAAAAGTGTAGGCAGCCAGTGCTCAGGGGAAGGCAGTGACCCAATTACTGACAGCTGTTAGAGCCTCGTTTCTCTGCCTTTTAGTTTCCCCAGCAGAGTGGTACTGACACCACCATCATTAACAGTTAATTTTGATTTAGTATGTCTGCACAGGCTGGGACAACTAAAGTGCAGCCTGTTGCCTATAAAAGCTCAACTCCCCCCTTGAGGTCATTTTGAATTGCACCTGCTCAGGCCCAGGCGATGGGTGGAAGAAGCTTTTCAAGGTCATTCCAGTTTCTAAAGGCTTCCTCCTGCAGCTGGAGTCTTGAAAGCTGAACTTAAGAGCTATGCAAAGGGCTGAAATAACTTATGTTAAAACCCTCTTTCTACTCCCCTGTGATCATACTGAGAAAAACCCAAGAACTAAAATTAAGTTAAAGACCAAGACCCAGGTTTTATAACAACCAAATGTCAAGCTTAGTGATGGTATTTTAAAAAACGAGCTAAGTGGAGCATTTTGAACAAATATTGGAGGGCGACAAAAACTCTCTTCTTGACCAAAGTTTATTTATTACTTTATGTTTTAAAAATAGATACAGGGCCTCAGTCTGTTGCCAGGCTGGAGTGCAATGGCATGATCATATCTCACTGCAGCGTGAATCTCCTGAGCTCAAGTGATCCTGCCACCTCACCCTCCCAACGTTCTGGGATTATAGACGTGAGCCACCATGCCCGGCTCAAACTTTAGAAAGACTCCTCTGAGTCCTCTTTTTGATGAGGCCTCAACTTTGGCCTGTAAAAACTACAGACTCTCAGAACAAATGATTTCATCCACACTCTCTCTTCCCCACTAAAAGACTCGAACCACCAGTAATATAGTCTCTAACAGTTAAGGCTGAACCCCTAGGATGACCCCTCACTCCCCTTAAAGTTCCTGCCTGGGAATGCTCAAGGCTGCTGGAGAATTACTGTTTGTTCCAGCCCAAACCTGGTAATAGACAGATAGGCCCCTTCACCTGCCTGCCTTAGAGCAGTACCTTTAGAAAGTTTGCAAGTGTAGATGCTTTCTCTCCCTCTTTGTGATGTTGATTTCCACTATCCAGAACTGTCTCCTCGAGAACCTGAGGGCCATTCCTTTTTTTTTTTTTGAGATGGTTGAAGTGATTCTCCTGCCTCAGACTCCTGGGTAGCTGGGATTACAGGCTCCTGCCGCTATATCTGGCTAATTTTTGTATTTTTAGTAGAGACGGGGTTTTACCATGTTGGCCAGGCTGATCTCAAATTCCGAATGACCTCCAGTGATCCGGCCGCCCAGACCTCCCAAAGTGGTGGGATTACTGGCGTGAGCCACTGCGCCTGCTGGCCATCTCTTTGAAATGCAAAAATTCAGGGAAATAACTCTGCTCTCCTTACCACATCTCCCAGTAGGGTGACCACTGCGCTCTAACTAGCAGCACTATCTCCTGTCATAAAGATGTGAGGGGAAATCTGCTTTTCTTCCACATAAGCACCAATCAACAAACCCAGTCCCTGCTCAAGCTCGGTCTGGTTCTCCCATCCTACTCCCTCATTCTCCCTTTCAAACACCCAGTCAACTCTGCACAATCAAAGTAAGCTCAGTTCACACTGTATCGCTTCCCTATTGCAGTGGTTATGACAGAATAATGTCTATTTTAGTACTTTACTAGTGTCTGACTTTGTCTTTGACAAAGGTCAGATACATTTTCTTTTTGTCATAGGGAGCAGGGATTAGTTTAGACAGACAGACCATGGAGCTAAGAAGACCAAGGTTATTATGAACTTGACCTCCAGATGGCTCTGCCCATATTGCAGTGGCATGTGCACACCTCTGTCAGGCGTTTCACACATGGCGTCCATTGATCACAAGGGAGACCAGATGAGAAAGTAGTGCTGGCTCAGCACAAACGACGTGCTGCTGCTCATTTGGTTTCTCGTTACTGCTTTAAGAGCTCCAGTATACAGATGGTGCAGCTCATAGCCTCTTCTTTGTACGCCTCAGCTGGAAGAGTACCTGTGCTCTTGCTCCCCCAAATGCCTTCTCTCTGACATCCCCAATTCTCCTGTCCTTTTAGCATCTAGTTCATGGTCCTCTTCTACCACAGTTCCTTCCCAGACTCTACCTCCCACTTTGCTCACTCTGGTGCCTAGAACATTTATCTTGCATACTCTACATCTCGTTTTGTTACCCTGGGTAACAAAATTTCACTACTCCTAAAAGAAATAAGGACCAAGTATTCCACCTCCTGCCTTCTACTAGTATCAGGCTAGTATGTTGAAACTATTCGGTAAAATGCACTTAAATATTTTAAATGAGCTTTCAATGGCTTTGACAAATTTCAGTAAAATGATGTTGAATCCCTTCATCATTTCTAGGATGGACATTAAACTTTTATTACAACTCTCAAAATGCTTACAAATTTATGCAAAATCAAACTAGTGTTGCTGCACTTTGTATGGAGTAAGTAGTCTATTGCCTATGGATTTTTTTTCCAATTTTATGTGTGATCATACAGTAATATTATATTTTACCACAAAGGAAAAACGTTTAGCATTTGGCATTATAATAGCTAGTTCTTTACACTCTCATTGCTGTTAGCCTACATTTTCATAACTTTATGCATATCTTTCTTATGATACTATCCTTTCTACCCATTTTAAAAAGAGAAGAAAGGTTTGGGAAAGTGTTAGAGACTAACTAGATGGCTCATAAAAACTCCTCTGCAGTTAGTAATTCAAACTTCTGTGTTAATTGGATCTTTGTTGTTCTGTTTTAATCAACTAAGGATAGGACTTTTACATTTTACTTAAACTGTTATAATACTATAAATAAATAATACTAATACTATAAATAAAATCTTTTCACTGGAGAAAAGTGCAATCAATAAATATGTTAGGTATCCATCACAGTAAACTTCTTCTTTTTTTTTTTTTTTTTTGAGATGGAGTCTCTGTCACCCAGGCTGGAGTGCAGTGGCATGATCTTGGGTCACTGCAACCTCTGCCTCCCAGGTTCAAGCCATTCTCCTGCCTCAGCCTCCCTAGTCGCTGGGATTACAGGCGCCTGCCACCATGCCCAGCTAATTTTTTGTATTTTTTAGTGGAGATGGGATTTCACTATGTTGCCCAGGCTGGTCTCGAACTCCTGACTTTGTGAACTGCCCGCCTCAGGCTCCCAAAGTGTTGGGATTACAGGCGTGAGCCACCACGCCCCGCCACAGTTAACTTCCATATAGTTTTCAGGAATATAAAATAATCCTGTCATGGGTATTTAACTTAGATTACTCATGTGCTAAGATCCAGAAGGAACCTTCCAGAATGGTGGTTTTCCATTTGTGTTCCACAGAACCCCAGGATGCTGAAGAGTTATTTTCAGGTATATTGGTTTTCTGTTACTGCTGTAACAAATTACCACAAATGTAGTGGCTTAAAACAACACGGCTTTATTTACCTTACAGTTCTGGAGGTCAAAAGTCTGAAAAAGGTATTTCTAGGCTAACAACAGGGGTCAGGAGGGCTGTGTTCCTTCTTGGAAACCCTAGAGGAGAAGCCGCTTCCTTGCCTTTTCCAGCTGCTGGAGGCCACCTGCATTCCTTGGCTTGAGGCCCTTTCCATCTGGCTGGTGGCTTCTTCCTCAGATCAGATCACTCTGACTAACTCGCCTGTCTCCTGCTTTCACTTATAAGAACCTTTGTGATTACGTTGGGCCCACCCAGATGATTCAGGTCAATCTCTTCATCTCAAGGTCAGCTGACTAGCAAACTTAATTCCATCCACAATTCTAATTTCCTCTTGCCCTGTAACAAAACATGTTTATACGTTCCCGGAATTGGGAGTTGAACTTCTATCGTTGGCCATTCTACTGCCTACTACATCAGGTATCTCACAGATTTGAGTTCAAATTCTAAAACAGCAAAAACAAGTTATTTAAAATATTTAGAAGAAACAAAACACACACTCAAATGCAAAATGTACAGCTTTCTATTTTATTTTATTTCTGGAGACAGGGTCTCACTTTGTTGTCCAGGCTGGAGTTCAGTGTTGCAATCACAGCCCACTGCAACATCGAGCTCCTGGGCTCAAGCAATCCTCCTGCCTCAGCCTCATGAGTAGCAGGGACTACAGGTGTGCAACAGCACACCCAGCTAATTTTCTTATATTTTGTAGAGAAGGGGGCCTCACTATGTTGCCCAGGCTGATCTTGAACTCCTGGCCTCAAGAGATCCTCCAGCCTTGGCCTTCTAAAGTGTCGGGATTACAGGTGTGAGCCACTGTGCCCAGGCAATGTACTGAATTTTAAACACCAGAGTCTACCAGTGTATTAACTTGTGCTGCTAGGTCACTCGTTTGTTTGAGCACAGACCTTAGACAAAAACTTCTGCTGCCATCGATGTGCAGATACCTTGTTTTGGTGGGGAGTTTAATCACTTAATACATGTGGTTCAGTTAAAGCAAAATCCAGTTATTTCCTCCAGAGTAATACCTATTCTGAATAGCAAAATTTTTATATATTGCCTACCTGTAGTTATCTTGAAAGACATTTATCACATCTTCAAGAAGTACTTCAAGTGGCCACATATCACTTCCATAGCTTCTGAAGACAAGGATCGAAGGACTATTTTAACAGTGAATAATGAAAGAAATGAAGCCCACTAATTCATCATACCCGGTTTTCTCCTCCAAGTTTGCTTTAGAACATTCTAAACAAAATCATAAGGGACAACAGAGAGCTCAAAGCCACCAACTCAGCGGGGAAGGCAGATCATACCTCCCTGCTATGCAGTGCAGAGTCCCTCGTTGGTGCACAGTCAGTGGTAGAAAACAATTGCCCAATATTTTGGTGTGATTATTCCAGCTGTCTGGAGGGTATGGCTCTCAGAAAACTATCCACTCATTTTATTTAGTCTGGTGCAATACAGCTTTAACCCACTGTCCTTTTTCATATGTATTAATGTCTTTCAGGAACATTTGAGTGAATCCATCATATAATATCCTGATAGATCCTACATTTTCACAAGAGGAACATTAAAAAATCATTGTCGCTTGTCAATATTGCATTTCTTGTGATCTTCACGCCTACCTACATGTTTTAAAAGTAGAAGAGAAATAATAATTTATCTCTTGAACTTGCTTCAACCTGGACATTTTCCATTGTATTTAGAGAGTGAAGACTGCTTCAGAGATACAAAGCTAACATCAGAACCTTTCTAAGAGACTGACATATTCCTATTCCAGGTTAGGTATGAAAGGTGAAGTCACAAATTAGATATTTTCCTTTGAATCTGATCTTTCTGAATTGTGCTAAAATAGCTCTCGCTGTGTTGACATCTACAGTCAATGAAGAATACGCCACAGAGTTCTAATAGGTTACATCCTTTGAAAAAAGGATAAACTGTTGTGCCCCCCAGAAATTTAAGTGGCTTAAATATATTAGTTTAATTCTCTCTCACAAAAAGCCTGAAGTCTCAGAGAGAATGTCCAATTCTGTAATTTCCTGCATGTCTCAAGGTGTTTATTTTATCTCTACACTAGGATGGGCATAGATTACTAGGGTCTTTTCTCTATACCTTTGAAGATACGGCTTTATTGTCTTTCAGCACAGCAATATATAGGTATTAATAGAATTCTCATTCCTTTGGACTGTAATCTGTTCTTATTTTTTTCTCTCTAGAGGCTTTATCCTGAGTGTTCTGGTTTTTCATTGCCATGTGTCTAGGTATTGGTCAGGACCTGGTGGGGCCCTTTCAATCTGTTTTTCATCAGCTCCAGGGAAATTTATTTTGTATTTATTTGTTCTCTCCCTCTGGTATGCTTTTTAGACATACAGATGTCTGAATCTCTCCTCCATGCCTTTCATTGTTTTCTTTCATAGTTAGCAATTTTTTTGTTTTATAGTTATGCAGCTCAGAAAGATTCTTCAACTCAAACTTGGAAATCACTAATTGGCTCTCCAGGTCTGACTATTCCTGCTATCTAATACAGCTTTTTTTTTTTTTTTTTTTTTTTTTTTTTTGACACAGAGTCTCACTCTGTTGCCCAGGCTGGAGTACAGTGGTGCAGTCAAGGCTCACTGCAACCTCCACCTCCTGGGTTTAAGCGATTCTCCTGCCTCAGCCACCTGAGTAGCTAGGATTACAGGCACGCACCATCATGCCTGGCTAATTTTCTGTGTGTGTGTGTGTTTTTAGTAGAGATGGGGTTTCACCATGTTGGCCAGGCTGGTCTCGAACTCCTGGACTCAAGCAATCTGCCCGCCTTTGCCTCCCAAAGTGCTGGGATTACAGGCGTGAGCCACTGTGCCCAGCCAGCTATTGAGTTTTTCATTTTGATCAAAATATTAACTTCTGGTATGATAATTTGATCTTTGCCTTCTATGTAGCATCCACCCTAAAATATTAATTACGGTTTTCTAAAATCTTGATCTGTTGCTTATTAATTGCCTCCTTAGATTGCAATTCTTCTGTTCACTGAATTGCTGTCTCTATTTTATGGTGTTGACTTTACTCATAAACATTTGGCATTCTTGGTTCTCTGAGCAACTTAGTACCTGAGAATCCTTGTTTTCTGCTTTTTCTGTTACCAGATTGTGGTAACACGCTGAGGGCTTGAGCCAGTAGCTTTTCTTGTGGGTGTGTGGAGGTTATCTTCTATCTTTCACTCCTTGCTGGATCCTGTAGGATACCATTTTAGCTTTGTAGGAAATGCCACTAGTGTGTACTATTCTGCATCAGTGAAGGAGTAGGAAAAGCCTGCTGGCCTAGGATGCTCCATTTGGCTTTTTAATCATCGTGGCCCTATGTGTTAGTGCCAGTCTTCACTGTTTTTCTGCACTATTATAAACTTGGGTTATTTTCAAATCTCTACTTTATTTATTTATTTTTTATTTTGAGATGGAGTTTTACTCTGTTGCCCAGGCTGGAGTACAATGGCGCGATCTTGGCTCACTGCAACCTCTGCTTCCAGGGTTCAAGCGATTCTCCTGCCTCAGACACCCGAGTGGCTGGGACTACAGGCGTCCACTACCACGCCCAGCTAATTTTTGTATTTTTATTAGAGAAGGGGTTTCACCATGTTGGCCAGGCTGGTCTCAAACTCCTGACCTCAAGTGATCCACCCACTTCAGCCTCCCAAAGTACTGGGATTACAGGCGTGAGCCATCGTGCCTTGCCCAAATCTCTATTTTAAATCATTTCATGGGATTTTAGGCAAGAGGAAGGACAAACACATATGCTCAGTCGGCCATCTTGATCCACTTCTTTCCAAACACATGTAGAGTAGCTTGTGCTGAAAATGAACACAATCAAAAACAGAATTATCAGTGTGATCAGGGATGAGTCTAGGCTCTGTCCCTTGATAATGGGGTGATCCTGGCAAGCCACACTTTCCACATTGGTAATGTGAGGTAAAAAACAGCATCTCGGATGGCTGCAAGGAATCATCTACACAAAGCATGAAAGTGTTCAGCATAGTGCCAGCACTTGGCAAACCTTCAATAAATGGTAGTTTATTGTTACCCTTATTGTCATTGAGTGTAACAAAAGAAAATATACACTTCTGGCTGGGTGCAGGATCACACCTGTAATCCCAGCACTTTGGGAGGCTGAAGTGGGCGGATCACCTGAGGTGAGGAGTTAGAGACCAGCCTAGACAACATGGTGAAACCCTGTCTCTACTAAAAATACAAAAATTAGCCAGGCGTGGTGGCACATGCCTGTAGTCCCAGTGACTGGGGAGGCTGAGGCAAGAGAATTGCTTGAACACGGGAGATGGAGGTTGCAGTGAGCCAAGATTGCACCACTGCACTCCAGCCTGGGCAACAGAGTGAGACTCCATCTCAAAAAAAGGAAAATAAGGCCAGGCGCGGTGGCTCATGCCTGTAATCCCAGCACTTTGGAAGGCCAAGGCAGATGGATCACCTGAGGTTGGGAGCTCAAGACCAGCCTGACCAATATGGAGAAACCCCATCTCTACTAAAAATACAAAATTAGCCGGGCGTGGTGGCACATGCCTGTTATCCCAGCTACTCAGGAGGCTGAGGCAGGAGAATGTCTTGGACCTGGGAGGCGGAGGTTTGTGGTGAGCTGAGATCGTGCCATTGCACTCCAGCCTGGGCAATAAGAGGGAAACTCTGTGCTCCTGTCTCAAAAAAAAAAAAAAAAAAAAAAAAAGCACACTTGTCAACATGATTATAAATTACTAGAAATTGTTATATAAAACCAAGTATAACAATGCTTATATATTTTTGGTGTTACTTCTTGTCATAATGAGATGGAGTTCAAAAGCTGCAGTGATGCTTGTGTGGAAGGGCTCTCACAAATGAAAGCATAAAGTCAGGAGGGCCTTACCTTAGTCCTTCCTGAAAAAATACCAGTATGGAGATTGGAGGAGAGGGTGGCTAGGTTTGAAAAGGCTCATACTTGACCAAAACATGGGTGTGCTCCAACAGAAAAGCCTCTTTTGGGTGGTTGTTTAAATTTATAATGCAAAGCAGAAGAGGCTTGGACATTAGAAAGATCTTGAAGCTAAGCATCTTAGAAATGGGCCAGCTGGCTTGTAGCTTGAAAAGAATCTAAAAAGAAAAAAAAATAGGGGTAGAGCCAAGATGGCCGAATAGGAACAGCTCCAGTCTACAGCTCCCAGCATGAGCAACGCAGAAGACGGGTGATTTCTGCATTTCCAACTGAGGTACCGGGCTCATCTCACTGGGGAGTGTTGGAAAGTGGGTGCAGGACAGTGGATGCAGCTCACCAAGCGTGAGCCAAAGCAGGGCGAGGCATCACCTCACCCAGGAAGTGCAAGGGGGCAGGGAATTCCCTTTCCTAGTCAAAGAAAGAGGTGACAGATGGCACCTGGAAAATCGGGTCACTCCCACCCTAATACTGCGCTTTTCCAATGGTCTTAGCAAACAGCACACCAGGAGATTATATCCCGTGCATGGCTTGGAGGGTCCTACCCCAACGGAGCCTCGCTCATTGCTAGCACAGCAGTCTGAGATCAAACTGCAGGGCGGCAGCGAGGCTGGGGGAGGGGCGCCTGCCATTGCCAAGGCTTCAGTAGGTAAACAAAGCTGCCAGGAAGCTCGAACTGGGTGGAGCCCACCGCAGCTCAAGGAGGTCTGCCTGCCTCTGTAGACTCCACCTCTGGGGGCAGGGCACAGCCAAACAACAGGCAGCAGAATCCTCTGCAGACTTAAATGTCCCTGTCTGACAGCCTTGAAGAGAGTAGTGGTTCTCCCAGCACGCAGCTGGACATCTGAGAACAGACAGACTGCCTCCTCAAATAGGTACCTGACCCCCGAGTAGCCAAACTGGGAGGCACCCCCCAGGAGGGGCAGACTGACACCTCACATGGCCGGGTACTCCTCTGAGACAAAACTTCCAGAGGAATGATCAGGCAGCAACATCTGCTGTTCACCAATATCTGCTGTTCTGCAGCCTCCGCTGCTGATACACAGGCAAACAGGGTCTGGAGTGGACCTCCAGTAAACTCCAAAAGACCTGCAGCTGAGGGTCCTGACTGTTAGAAGGAAAACTAACAAACAGAAAGGACATCCAAACCAAAACCCCATCTGTACGTCACCATCATCAAAGACCAAAGGTAGATAAAACCACAAAGATGGGGAAAAAACAGAGCAGAGAAACTGGAAACTCCAAAAATCAGAGCACCTCTCCTCCTCCAAAGGAACGCAGCTCCTCACCAGCCACGGAACAAAGCTGGATGGAGAATGACTTTGACGAGTTGAGAGAAGAAGGCTTCACGTGATCAAACTACTCCGAGCTAAAGGAGGAAGTTTGAACCCATGGCAAAGAAGTTAAAAACTTTGAAAAAAAATTAGACGAATGGCTAACTAGAATAACCAATGCAGAGAAGTCCTTAAAGGACCCGACAGAGCTGAAAACCAAGGCATGAGAACTATGTGACGAATGCACAAGCCTCAGTATCCGATTCGATCAACTGGAAGAAAGGGTATCAGTGATGGAAGATGAAATGAATGAAATGAAATGAGAAGTTTAGAGAAAAAAGAATAAAAAGAAATGAACAAAGCCTCCAAGAAATATGGGACTATGTGAAAAGACCAAATCTACGTCTGATTGGTGTACCTGAAAGTGATGGGGAGAAAGGAACCAAGTTGGAAAACACTCTGCCGGATATTATCCAGGAGAACTTCCCCAATCTAGCAAGGCAAGCCAACATTCAATTCAGGAAATACAGAGAACACCACAAAGATACTTCTCGAGAAGAGCAACTCCAAGACACATAATTGTCAGATTCACCAAAGTTGAAATGAAGGAAAAAATGTTAAGGGGCAGCCAGAGAGAAAGGTCAGGTTACCCACAAAGGGAAGCCCATCAGACTAACAGCTGATCTCTTGGCAGAAACTCTATAAGCCAGAAGAGAGTGGGGGCCAATATTCAACATTCTTAAAGAAAAGAATTTTCAACCCAGAATTTCATATCCAGCCAAACTAAGCTTCATAAGTGAAGGAGAAATAAAATCCTTTACAGACAAGCAAATGCTGAGAGATTTTGTCACCACCAGGCCTGCCCTACAAGAGCTCCTGAAGGAAGCACTAAACATGGAAAGGAACAACCAGTACCAGCCACTGCAAAAACATGCCAAATTGTAAAGACCATCGAGGCTAGGAAGAAACTGCATCAACTAATGAGCAAAATAACCAGCTAACATCATGATGAGGATCAAATTCACACATAACAATACTAAGCTTAAATGTAAATGGGCTAAATGCTCCAATTAAAAGACACAGACCTGCAAACTGGATAAAGAGTCAAGACCCATCAGTGTGCTGTATTCAGGAAACCCATCTGACGTGCAGAGACACACATAGGCTCAAAATAAAGGGATGGAGGAAGATCTACCAAGCAAATGGAAAACAAAAAAAGGCAGGGGTTGCAATCCTAGTCTCTGATAAAACAGACTTTAAATCAACAAAGATCAAAAGAGACAAAGAAGGCCATTACATAATGGTAAAGGGATCAATTCAACAAGAAGAGCTAACTATCCTAAATATATATGCACCCAGTACAGGAGCACCCAGATTCATAAAGCAAGTCCCTAGTGACCTACAAAGAGACTTAGACTCCCACACAATAATAATGGGAGACGTTAACACCCCACTGTCAATATTAGATCAACGAGACAGAAAGTTAACAAGGATATCCAGGAATTGAACTCAGCTCTGCACCAAGCAGACCTAATAGACATCTACAGAACTCTCCACCCCAAATCAACAGAATATACATTCTTCTCAGCACCACACTGCACTTATTCCAAAATTGACCACTTAGTTGGAAGTAAAGCACTCCTCAGCAAATGTAAAAGAACAGAAATTATAACAAACTGTCTCTCAGACCACAGTGCAATCAAACTAGAACTCAGGATTAAGAAACTCACTCGAAAGCGCTCAACTACAAGGAAACTGAACAACCTGCTCCTGAATGACTACTGGGTACCTAACAAAATGAAGGCAGTAATAAAGATGTTCTTTGAAACCAACGAGAACAAAGACACAACATACCAGAATCTCTGGGACGCATTCAAAGCAGTGTGTAGAGGGAAATTTATAGCACTAAATGCCCACAAGAGAGAGCAGGAAAGAGCTAAAATCAACACCCTAACATCACAATTAAAAGAACTAGAGAAGCAAGAGCAAACACATTCAAAAGCTAGCAGAGGGCAAGAAATAACTAAGATCAGAGCAGAACTGAAGGAAATAGAGACACAAAAAACCCTTCAAAAAATCAATGAATCCAGGAGCTGGTTTTTTGAAAAGATCAACAAAATTCATAGACCGCTAGCAAGACTAATAAAGAAGAAAGGAGAGAAGAATCAAATAGATGCAATAAAAAATGATAAAGGGGATATCACCACCAATCCCACAGAAATACAAACTACCATCAGAGAATACCATAAACACCTCTATGCAAATAAACTAGAAAATCTAGAAGAAATGGATAAATTCCTCGACACATACACCCTACCAAGACTAAACTAGGAAAAAGTTCAATGTCTGAATAGGCCAATAACAGGCTCTGAAATCGAGGCAATAATTAATAGTTTACCAACCAAAAAAAAGGTCCAGATGGATTCACAGCCGAATTCTACCAGAAGTACAAGGAGGAGCTGGTACCATTCCTTCTGAAACTATTCCAATCAGTAGAACAAGAGGGAATCCTCCCTAATTCATTTTATGAGGCCAGCATCATCCTGATACCAAAGCCTGGCAGAGACACAACAAAAAAAGAGAATTTTAGACCAATATCCTCGATGAACATCAATGCAAAAGTCCTCAATAAAATACTGGCAAACCGAATCCAGCAGCATATCAAGAAGCTTATCCACCATGATCAAGTGGGCTTCATCCCTGGGATGCAAGGCTGGTTCAACATACACAAATCAATAAACGTAATCTAGCATATAAACAGAACCAAACACAAAAATCACATGATTATCTCAATAGATGCAGAAAAGGCCTTTGACAAAATTCAACAACCCTTCATGCTAAAAACTCTCAATAAATTAGGTATTGATGGGACGTATCTCAAGATAATAAGAGCTATCTATGACAAACCCACAGCCAATATCATACTGAATGGGCAAAAGCTGGAAGCATTCCCTTTGAAACTGGCACAAGACAGGGATGCCCTCTCTCACCACTCCTATTCAACATAGTGTTGGAAGTTCTGTCCAGGGCAATCTGGCAAGAGAAAGAAATAAAGGGTATTCAATTAGGAAAAGAGGAAGTCAAATTGTCCCTATTTGCAGATGACGTGATTGTATATCTAGAAAACCCATCGTCTCAGCCCAAAATCTCCTTAAGCTGATAGGAAACTTCAGCAAGTCTCAGGATACAAAATCAATGTGCAAAAATCACAAGCATTCCTATACACCAATAACAGACAAACAGAGAGCCAAATCATAAGTGAACTCCCATTCACAATTGCTTCAAAGAGAATAAAATACCTAGGAATCCAACTTACAAGAGACGTGAAGGACCTCTTCAAGGAGAACTACAAACCACTGCTCAATGAAATAAAGGAGGATACAAACAAATGGAAGAACATTCCATGCTCATGGGTAGGAAGAATCAATATTGTGAAAATGGCCATACTGCCCAAGGTAATTTATAGATTCAATGCCATCCCCATCAAGCTACCAATGACTTTCTTCACAGAATTGGAAAAAACTACTTTAAAGTTCATATGGAACCAAAAAAGAGCCCAAATCACCAAGTCAATCCTAAGCCAAAAGAACAAAGCTGGAGGCATCACGCTACCTGACTTCAAACTATACTACAAGGCCACAGTAACCAAAACAGCATGGTACTGGTACCAAAACAGAGATATAGATCAATGGAACAGAACAGAGCCCTCAGAAATAACACTGCATATCTACAACCATCTGATCTTTGACAAACCTGACAAAAACAAGCAATGGGGAAAGGATTCCCTATTTAATAAATGGTGCTGGGAAAACTGGCTAGCCATATGTAGAAAGCTGAAACTGGATCCCTTCCATACACCTTATACAAAAATTAATTCAAGATAGATTAAAGACTTAAATGTTAGACCTAAAACCATAAAAACCCTAGAAGAAAACCCAGGCAATACCATTCAGGACATAGACATGGGCAAGGACTTCATGTCTAAAACACCAAAAGCAATGGCAACAAAAGCCAAAATTGACAAATGGGATCTAATTAAACTAAAGAGCTTCTGCACAGCAAAAGAAACTACCATCAGAATGAACAGGCAACCTGCAGAATGGGAGAACATTTTTGCAATCTACTCATCTGACAAAGGGCTAATATCCAGAATCTCCAATGAACTCAAACAAATCTATAAGAAAAAAACAAACAGCCCCATCAAAAAGTGGGAGAAGGATATGAACAGACACTTCTCAAAAGAAGACATTTATGCAGCCAAAAGACACATGAAAAAATGCTCATCATCACTGGCCCTCAGAGAAATGCAAATCAAAACCACAATGAGATACCATCTCACACCAGTTAGAATGGTAATCATTAAAAAGTCAGGAAACAACAGGTGCTGGAGAGGATGTGGAGAAATAAGAACACTTTTACACTGTTGGTGGGACTGTAAACTAGTTCAACCATTGTGGAAGTCGGTGTGGCGATTCCTCAGGGATCTTGAACTAGAAATACCATTTGACCCAGCAATCCCATTACTGGGTATATACCCAAAGGATTATAAATCATGCTACTATAAAGACACATACACACGTATGTTTATTGTGGCACTATTCACAATAGCAAAGACTTGGAGCCAAGCCAAATGTCCAACAATGATAGCCTGGATTAAGAAAATGTGGCACATATACACCATGCAATACTACGCAGCCATAAAAAATGATGAGTTCATGTCCTTTGTAGGGACATGGATGAAGATGGAAACCATCATTCTCAGCAAACTATCGCAAGGACAAAAAACCAAACACCGCATGTTCTCACTCATAGGTGGGAATTGAACAATGAGAACACATGGACACAGGAAGGGGAACATCACACACCGGGGCCTGTTGTGGGGTTGGGGAAGTGGGGAGGGATAGCATTAGGAGATATACCTAATGTTAAATGATGAGTTGATGGGTGCAGCACACCAGTATGGCACATGTATACATATGTAATTAACCTGCACGTTGTGCACATGTACCCTAAAAGTTAAAGCATAATTAAAAAAAAAAGAAAAAATAATAAAACCTGACACCACACTGGAATTACTGACATTTTACTGTTTTAAAGCCTTATAAGAAGAAACTGCAGATACATTCTTTGATGCTTCAGCATAGTCAGATGACACCTTCAAAAATTCCACATTTGAATCTTTGATTTGCCTAAAGTTTAATTTGGTTTAAAGCAATAGCTAGAAATCAGCTCTCTATTTATATTTATAATATAAAATATATATTATAGATAGAGTGCTCAATATACATATATGTAGAGAGAGAGAGAGAGGGTCTTGCTCTATTGCCCAGGCTGGAGTGCAGTAGCATGTGATCTCAGCTCACTCTAGCCTCATACTCCCAGGCTCAAGTGATCCTCCCACCACAGCCTCCTAAGGAGCTGGGACCACAAGTATGCGCCACCAAGCCTAGCTAATTTTTTAATTTTTTGTAGAGACGGGGTCTTGCCATGCTGTCCACGCTAAGCTTAATATTTTTCTAAATGGCGTGGTAGCCATTTGTCTCAATTCCATTCACTGAGTTATCCATCTTTTCCACTGTGACTTGAAGTGTCATCTGTATTAGCTGTTTTCTCTGCTTACCCCACTTCTCTGTCTTCTGAAGAACCAAAACCCAAACCTAAACCCTATATCCTGCTCATAGGGGTGAGAAATGGACCCACAAGGGACTAATGAGAACCCTTCCTGGGGATTTTTCTAACTAGAGTTGACAGCAGAGAGCTCTTTTTGCTTTCATCTTGAAGCCATAAGGAAGCAAGTCTGGTGCTGCCCCACAAAGAAGAGATGGTGAGTATGGACGGTGTTAGGATTCTCTGGTTCTAACTGCCCTAAGGCCAATTCTATTGCTGCCTACTGTTTGAGAGCATGGCCACTAAATGTCCCTTTTCGCTTAAGCTACATATGCTTGCATTTCTATTACTAAAAACTGAAAAACCATGTTTATTATTATTACTATTTTTTTTTTGAGATGGAGTCTTGTTCTGTCGCCCAGGTTGGAGTGCAGTGGTGCCATCTCGGCTCACTGCCTCCTCTGCCTCCCGGGTTCAAATGATTCTCGTGCCTCAGTCTCCCGAGTAGCTGGGACTACAGGCATGTGCCACCACGCCAGGCTAATTTTTTGTATTTTTAGTAGAGACGGGGTTTTGCCATGTTGCCCAGGCTGGTCTCAAACTACTGAACTCAGGCAATCTTCCCACCTCGGCCTCCCAAATTGCTGGGATTACAGGCATGAGCCACCTTGCCCAGTCTATTACATTAAATTCTTAAACATATTTAGGTCTGTTTCTATTCCCCACTTTGTTCCTTCCCACTTATCTACTTCTCTAGAACTAAACTGTTTCAGTTTCTTTACATTTTAATATCTTTTAGGGCTAATCACCCACCATTACACGTGATACAATCTTTTATTGAGATTGACCTGGAGAAACACTGATAGAAGAGTGTGTGTGTGTGTGTGTGTGTGTGTGTGTGTGTGTGTGTGTAGATTGTCCTGAACTGCAGATACAGGTATTCAAGTTACTGTAAAGGTACCCTTCTCCCTGCCCCCTCACCTCTAATCTTAAATTAATACATTAATCTTGGATTATAAATCAGTTTTTTACAAATTGGTTAGCAAGAATCAGACCTTTGGCCTGGCACAGTGGCTCACGTCTATAATCCCACCACTTTGGGGGCCAAGACGGGCAGATCACTTGAGCCCAGGAGTTTGAGAACAGCATGGGCAACATGGCAAAATTCCTTCTCTACAAAAATTAGCTGGGCGGTGACACGCACCTGTAGTCCCAGCTACTTGGGAGGCTGAGGTGGGAAAATCACTTGAGCCCGGGAGTGAGCCTCGAACTAGGTGACAAAGCAAGACCCTAACATCTCAAAAAAAAAAAAAAAAAAAAAAAAAGAATCAGAGCTTTACTTAACTAGTAAACCTGGGGTTTCTAGACTTTAAAAAAATCCTCAAGACTGGACTATGGCCCATTGTGAATGCAACTCAGAGGCTGGTCCAAACAGCCAGCAGGCTAGCCAGCTGCTGTTTCACAATCTTTTTAGCTGCAACAAATGTAACATGTGCGGCGAAGCCCAGAATTCTACTAGGACATTAGGATGCCATACTTTGACATATGTAAGGAAATGCAGGGATGGGAGTGGGGCAAGCATGATGGAATGTAATGCTAAAGATAAAATCAAGGACAGGTGTAAGGAACACTTAGGAAGGAATAAAATGGACAAATTTACCAAGACACTATTGTATAATGATTAAGTGTGTGGATGTTACACTGGGGCTGCATGGGTCTGAATCCTCGCTCTGTGACTAACTAGTTTATGACCTTGGGAAAGTTACTTTAGTTTCTCTGTGTGTCAGTTTATTCATCTGTAAAATGAGGATAATAATAGTACCTGTCTTACAGGTACAGGTAATATAAGAATTAAATTAGTTAATTCATATAAAGCACTTACAAGAGTTCCTGGCACATAGATATTTTCTGTGTATTTACCTAGTACTCTAGGTAAATGACTAGCAGATTATAATGGCCTAAAATGTTAAGGCACAAATAACTTAGACTATGGATCTATTGCAAAGTTTCCAAAGGATGTTTCTTAGGTGGGTTAATCATTAATCAAACAAGTTCAGTACTCATAAATATTGCTAGTTAACACTTTCTTTCTTGCACTAGTGTCATCTACATTTGAGCTATGATTGTGAAAAGGGAGAGGCAATATTTAAATTGTGTTTAAAGAAAAGCTTCCAATTGTTAATTGTGGGTAGTATTCATTCTTCTCTGAGATTCCTACTTCGTGCAGTGAAGTGTGTGGGTGCTGGTCGCATACACACATGCAGGACTTGGACATCCAGATTATAAAGTAGCGGCAGCAAAAAGACCTGGGTATAAATGCGGGGTCTATGATGCTTATAGGAGGGAAAGAGCACCCAGATATGGGGTAGGGGTGAGGATGAACCTGGAATAATTTCATAGAAGAGACAGTATTTTAGCATTTTTTAGTTAATCCTTGAAGTATTAGTGCATTTTAAAGATAATTTTCATGCATTGGAAATAATATAAAGCAGTTAGGAAATGGAGGGTTTGGAAATCCTAAGAAAAATTCTGGGGATTTCAAATAGTCCAATTTGATGAAAGAAATGGGTAAGAGAATAATGAAAGATCTGGATAAAAAGGTTGAGCACAATGTTGATGAAGTTGAATTTCATTTTGTGGTGGACACTATAGTCTGTTTAGCAGAGAAATAATGTGTAAGTATTCCAAAGAATGAATTGTTAGTGGGAAGAGGTATATTCAAACATTATTCGTAGTTCTTAATGTATAACTGAAATGTATTTTTTCATTTATAAAGTATAAGTTATCTTTAATAACACACATGTACAATAAATAATTCATATATGAAAATTCTCATCAGATAGCTTCATGCTTTGTCAGTGGAAGAAGCCACAGCACCAGGGAAATCAGAAGGCAATCTTAGTAACTCTTCTACCTCTTCTTGCAGGGCTTCTGCTTTTTCATGCAACAGCATCTACATTAAAAAATTAAGACGTGAGGCCAAAATATGCATTGCTAGAGAATTGCCAACAATTTTACCACTGTCCATTGAACACCTGAATCCTTACACATCAGAAATCTAGACATTAAAACTATAATGAGATTGAAAAATGGCCACTTAAGAATAAACGATTATAGTCAATGAAGATGAGGCATTTAGTTAAAACCATTTTAGCTGATCACTGCCTTTTAGTATACCAAAAATAAAGGAGCTTTAATTCTCCCAAAGATTTGTTTTATTGAAGACTCAGCCACTTAAAAATTAACTTTTAATCTATAAAATCTAAGACAATTTTGCAAAAATTTAATTAGCTCCTGAAAAATGTTATCCTTTATATATATGCATTTTATTATTCCTCAAAATTTAGTATGCTTTAAAAAGCTACCAGTATTTCAAATAAAAGTTTTATTCAAGTTCCTAAACTTAAAACTGTTAATTTCAAAAGCAACATAATGAGCAAAAAAAGTATTTCCAAACATGGCATATGAAAGATGTCAATGAATTTTTACCAAATAATAAGCTATATAGATCAATAAGAATAATAAGTAAACTACACAAAACCCTTGTGTTAGTATTACTATAATACAGAGAATATCAAGAACCTCAAATTACTTGTTTAAAAAAGCCCACCAATTTGTGGAAGAATAAATTCCGCTCCCCCCCACCCGCCTTTTTTTCTTTTTTAGACGGAGTCTTGTTCTGTCGCCTGGCTGGAGCACGGTGGCGTGATCTCAGCTCACTGCAACCTCCGCCTCCCAGGTTCAAGTGATTCAGAAGGCCTCAGCCTTCTGAGTAGCTGGGACTACAGGCATGCACCACCACACCCAGCTAATTTTTGTATTTTTAGTAGAGATGGGGTTTCACCATGTTGGCCAGGATGGTCTCCACTGCTTGACCTCATCATCTGCCTGCCTCAGCCTCCCAAAGTGCTGGGATTACAGGTGTGAGCCACCATGCCCAGCCTCTTTTTTTTTTTTTAATTAGAAAAAATTTAAAAAGCTTTTTTTGTAGAGACTGGATCTCCCTATGTTGTCCAGGCTGTTCTCAAACTCTTGGGCTCAAACGATCCTCCTGCCTTGGCCTCCCAAAGTGCTGGGATTATAGTGTGAGCCACTACACTCAGCCAAAACCAGTTTCTTGAGCTCCCACCCAAGTGTTTGCAGAGATCCAGATGGGGTTGAGAAAAAAAAAACACATGAACAAGATAAGAGGGAAATAGAGGGTCTAAAATGAAATAAGATCACCTCCAGAGAGAAAAAGCCTACCCAAATATAAAAATACTGAAAAAAGAATGTTGGTTGATTAAAGCATTGTTTATAGGAAGATATTTAAAATGCATGTGGGACTCTAGGAGGCAGTCTTCGAAAGGCAATGCTTTTAGGGGAGAGAATGGGTGAAAAGGGAGGTGCCTTTTGGAAGCTCAGCCATGAGAGGAAGAGGAAAAAAGGACAAAATTTACAATCTTGTAGGGCAAAAGGAAATTAAACAAACAAACAAACAAACTTGCATTCCTCTCCCACCCCAAGTCATCCATTAAAGAAAAATACTTTGCTACTCTGACAGAAGAGAACACTCTTGAACTGGGATCTCATAAATCATTCCAAATGACTGTGTTGTCCAAGATATGCAGAGGCACAAGCAGTTCTCATCTATACAAAACTACTATATAAAAAGAAAACAAGGCTGGGCATGGTAGCTCATGCCTGTAATCCCAGCACTTTGAGAGGCCAAGGTGGGCAGACCATGAGGTCAGGAGATCGAGACCATCCTGGCTAACACAGTGAAACCCCATCTCTACTAAAAATACAAAAAAAAATTTAGCCAGGCAAGGTGGCCGGCGCCTGTAGTCCGAGCTACTTAGGAGGCTGAGGCAGGAGAATGGCGTGAACCTGGGAGGCGGAGCTTGCAGTGAGCCAAGATTGCACCACTGCACTCCAGCCTGGGCAAGAGAGCGATACTCTGTCTCAAAAAAAAAAAGAGAAAAGAAAACCAATAAGAACCCAAACTCTTCATCTCATAAAAATTTCCCTTCCTGAAAGCAAACCATGAAGCAGAAAAACTGTAACACAACACTCCAAACAAAATTAAATATTCTCAAATAAAAATCTGGAGATATGAGGAGGAGTAGAAATGCTCTCTAAATAAGAAGTTAAAAAACTAAGAACCGACATGGACAAAAACTGGAAGAAATGATACAAAAGTTGACTGAGCTCAGGAATGAAATAAAAGAAAAAGGCAAAATCATATTAGAAATAAAAACTAATAACTATAACTAAATAACTGGGTGTCCATAGAAAAACAGATTTAAATAAAAAACCTAATTAGGGCCACTGAAAAAATTTAAAAAGCAGGAAAACAATAAAGAGAATAAAAACGAGATAGGCCGGGCATGGTGGCTCAGACCTATAATCCCAGCACTTTGGGAGGTTGAGGCAGGAGGATTGCTTGAGGCCAGAAGTTAGAGACCAGCCTGGGCAATGCAGTGAGACCAAGCCTCTACAACAACAACAAAAAATTAGCCAGGAATGGTGGCCCATACCTATAGTCCCAGCCACTCAGGAGGCTAAGGTGGGATCACCTGAGCCTGGGAGTTCAAGGCTGCAGTGAGCTATGATGGTGCTACTGCACTCTAGCCTGGGTGACAGAGACCTAGTTCCTCCCCACTCCCCCTAAAAAAATATCTGTGAGGGAAGGAGAGGAAATAAAATGGAATACCAGTAGAATTTGTGTTTCAAATGTATAACAGCCACACTGAAGCAGATTTTTTTAAACCCCAAACCAAGTAACATTTTAACACATTATTTTAATTATATACTCTCAGACTGAAGACAAAAAGTGCTGTAAATAAATACTGAATGTTTGTTTTTTTTGGAGTGGTATAATTTAACAATTCTGCAGTTACTTTCAGTGCATTCTAAGATTGAGGAAAACAGAAATATATTAATAAACACAGGGATGAGGTTTCTCATTATTGGAGAAAGGAAGTACAAATATGAAAAAGAGGAAGACTATATAGCAAGTCCTGTATGGGATTAGTGTGGCAAATTAAAGATGATTGGAAATTCTTTGACACCTTCATTGAGAGACGGGATCTAATTCTCCTCTTGAATCTGTGCTAGCCTTTGTGATTCACTTATAACTAATAGAATGCAGAAGAAATGATGCCACATGACAGGTCTCAGTTTAAGAAAGGCCTTGGGGTCTTGAAATGAGATCATTCCAAGGTCATGTGAATCCTCCCCCTCAGATCCTAGCATCCACACTGTAAGAAAGCCAAGCTAGGATAGGCAAGGTGGCTCACACTTGTAACCCCAGCACTTTGGGAGGCCAAGGTGGGCAGATTGCTTGAGCCCAGGAGTTCGAGACCAAACCGGGCAACATGGAGAAACCCCATCTCTAAAAAAAAAAAAAAAATTACATAAATTAGCTGGGTGTGGTGGTGCATGCCTGTGGTCCCAGCTACTTGGGAGGCTGAAGTGGGAGGATCACCTGAGCTTGGGAGGCTAAGGTTGCAGTGAGGCATGATTGTGCCACTGCATTCCAGTTGGAGTGAGAGGGAGACCTTGTCTCAAAAAAAAAAAAAAAAAAAAGAAAGTCAAGCAACATAGAGATTATAAATAGACAAATAAGAAACTGCAGTGTTTTAAAAGATATTATACTAGATTGAATAAAAAGAGACAGACAATACAAAACATCAAGTGCCTTTGAACTTTTTTTTTTTTAAATTTAGAGATAGGGTCTCCCCCAGGCATGGTGGCTCACTCGTAATCCCAGCATTTTGGGAGGCTGAGGAGGGTGGATCACTTGAGCTCAGGAGTTGGAGACCAGCCTGGGCAGCATGGTGAAAAATAAATTTAAAAAGGTAATTTAGTTAGGCATAGTGGTGCCCGCCTGTGGTCGCAGTTACTTGGGAGGCTGAAGTAGGAGGATTGCTTGAGCCTGGGAGGTTAAGGCTGCAGCAAGCCAAGATCATGCTACTGCACTCCAGCCTGGGTGACAGAGTCAGACCCTGTCTCAAAATAAATAAATAAATAAATAAAATTAATTAATTTAATTAAATTAAAAATAAAATAGAGATAAGGTCTCGCTTTGTTGCCCAGGTTGGAGTGCAGTGGCATGATCATAGCTGATTGCAGCCTTCATCTCCCAGGCTCAAATGATCCTCCCATTGCAGCCTCATGAGTACCACAGGCACACATCACCATGCCTGGCTAATTAAAAAAAAAAATTTCTTTTGTAGGAACAGGGTCTTGCTATGTTGCCCAGGCTGACCTCAAACTCCTGGCCTTAAGTGATTCTCCCACTCTGGTCTCTCAAAGTGCTGGGATTACAGGTGTGAGCCACTACACCTGAGCCTGAACTCTTGAACTTCAATATTCTTGAACTACATATAGGAAGCACATTGAGAAAGCTACCTAGCAGCAAACATGGGTTTATTGCTTATGGAAAAGGGAGAATGACTCAAATGAGAGAACCCAAAGCCAAGAAAAACCATTCCCAGAGAGAAGAACTGGGACATAATTAAGGAACTGGCCACATATGACTGGCTGGATTTCAGAACTGCTGCTGTGCACTACCCATTTTCCTTCTTTATGAATGAGAGTATACTATGGTTATCCTATTTCTAGTTTCACTGTTTTATGTAGTGTCTCTTTAGTTCACTGGTCTTCAGATTAAGAAGAACTGTAACTTGTGAAACTGTACTGAAGGTGTATCACTCACACTCGGACTTGATTTAGAATACTGGATCTGAGTCTGATGCTGTGATATTATGATAGACATATATTGGTCTTCATCCACGGTTCCTGGCTCATAACTCCCACAGCCCTTCTTACAATGATGGGGCACTTTAGACCTCAGAAAACAGAATTTCTCTCTCTGACCTTCTTCTGCCCTCCTTTTGCCTGCCTAAGGCAGAACTCTAATCTGATCATTGGGTCTTAAAACCCTCATTCCAGGCTGGGTGCAGTGGCTCATGTTGTAATCCCAACACTTTGGGAAGCCAAGATGGAAGGATTGCTTGAGGCCCGGAGTTCAAGACCAGCCTGGGCAACATAGCAAAACCTTGTCTCTATTAAAAATTAAAAACATTAGCCAGGCGTGGCACCTGTCTCTATTCCTAGCTACTCATGAGGCTGAGATGGGAGAACTGCTTGAGCCTGGGAGGGGAAGGCTGCAGTGATCTATGATTGTGCCATTGCACTCCAGCCTGGGCAACAGAGCAAGACCCTGTCTCCAAAAACAAGTAAAAAGACCCTCATCCCAGAGTGTCCTGCCCCATACTCTGAAGAAAGGAATGCTGCACAGAGAGGCCAGAAGAATCTGAACAGACGGGTCTTGCTGGGTTTCCCCACTCAATCTGTTAGTATTATTAATAAATCATACCCTTTCTGTCCAGTCACATTTCTACATGATTGTCAATCATGCCAACCCAATAAAGTTTCCATAAGAGGTCTAAGAGTACAGGATTCACAGAGCTTCCAGACAGCTGAACACATGGAGGGTGCTGTGCCCAGGGAGGGCATGAAAGCTCTGTGCCACTTCCCCCATACCTTGACCTATGAATCTCTTCATCTGTATCTTTGTGATATCCTTTATTATACGCATGTTTTCCTGAGTTTCGTGAGCTGACTGAACCCAGAGAAGAGGTTGAGGGAACCCCAACTTGAATTGGTAAGAAGTTTTAGAAGCCCAGACTCCAGCTAGATAGTGTCAGGACACCCAGCTGATGTCTGCTACAGAAATGATTGCTTGTTTTTTTGGGGAGAAATCCCTCACATTTGGTCACAGAAATCTTCTGTCTGTGTTGTGTTTGTTGAGTGTTGAGTGGGGGAACAACAACAACAAAAAAGACTTTGAGTTTTTCCTAATAGAAACTATAATGGAAAAGCCTTTTGGGGGTTAATATATTTTGCATGTGGGAGGAACAGAAACAATTTGTGACCAGAGGGCAGATTTTAAAGATGACCACAAATTATTTGACACTCTTCTCATGAAGAGGTGGTCTGATCCCCTTTCCTTTCAATCTAGGTCTTAACGGTTTTCTAGTAACCAACAGTATGCAGCGGAAATGACACTGTATAACTTCTGAGGTTGGCTCAGAAGACTTCTTGCATTTTCTGCCTGGATATCTTAAAATGCTCATTTTCTGGACATTCCCTCTCAAAACCTAGTTTCTATGCCATAAAGACTGAAGCCACATGGAAAGGCCATATGTAGTTGCTCCAGTCAAAAGCTGAAAAGCCCCAGTTGCCTCCAATTATCAGCTGTTGGTCATGTGAGTGAGTCACCTGGGTCATCCAGCTCTGCTGGGCCTTATGACTATAGCTCCAGTCAACTTCTGACTACAGTTGCCTGAGACCCAAGTGAGAAGCACCCAGCTGCACCCCTCCAGAATTCCTAATCTACAAAAACATGAGCAAAATAAGATGGCTGTTTTAAGCCACTAAATTTTGGAGTTAGACTCTGTTATGTAGCGTATGTACGTGGAAAAATCAGAATTAGGGTTATCAGTATGAGCTCATGGCCTTCAGTAATTTACACATAAGTATAGAAAAATACATAGACATACATCAGCTAGGGTGGTCCTAGCTAGTGCCCTAGTTCCATGGGCCCTAGAGCTGACTTCTGGGCAAGTTCAACAGTACATTGTAGGCAGCTTCCTTGCAGTTTTGTCAGCACTCCGTGGGCAGTTTCTGCTTATTAGCCTTGGCTGTAGCACCACAACAAACTTCCCAGCATCCAGTGGCAATGAAGTCCGGATCCCATCCACAGGGGTGCTGTGGGGTGGGGGTGGACCGTCTCTCAAATGTATTCCTTCCTGAATTCTTTAAAGTTCTGTTGACCCCTTAGACGCCTGTTCAAATTACTGTGTGGTTTCTGCCTCCTAATGATTAGATGCTGACAGACACAGCCAGAAAGTAAGAAAATACTTCAAGAATGATGATGACAGGTCAAAAAGCCACACAAACCAGTTTTCAGGGGCTTCCACTGGCCAAATCTGAGGCCATTTGAGCACCAAAATAAGTAATGTTATTAATGGGTTATAACCCATTGAATATGTTTGAACCTATGAGCACATACTGATAAATGAATAAATAAAGGAAAAGCTTTTCCTCACAGTAAAACATCAGTAAATAAATCCAGAAGGGATAATGAAGTTAGAAAATCACCTCTTGATAAGCATCATGGAAATAATGGAGTTAGGCAAACATCACTAGTAAATGCTGAAACAAGTGTGTGAAAGTTTAATGAACCTTTTTTTTTTAGGTGCTATAGCAAAGGAAATGACTATAACTTCATCCCTACCAACCCCAAGAACTCCTAATTTAACGGGACAAGGTCAATCTTAGTGGTTTCATCTATAAATTGGGGGTAACACTGACTTTGTCCACCTCATAGGTTTGTTGTAAAGAACAATTAAGGTAATGTAAGCAATGTGAGCACCATTAAAAAATGATGGAAAGCTAATTCTGATTTATATATGAAAATAGTAAAACAATGAAGCTTCAAAGAAGCCAAGCAATTTCAGACTTAGAACCACAGTTGAGATCAAGAAGGAAACAATCTCAAATTGCTGTGGAATGGCTTTACCCACAGGGAGCAGAAGGCAATGGCAAACTGGGTTGCATCTAGCAAAGGGTAACTAGGACAGTGAATGGCCTAAAACTTGATTATTTAATACAGATAAAAGCAACAGAAAAGAGAAACCCTTGGGGGCAATAAGAGCTGTTTTTGAATATGTGAAAAACAGCATACAAACAAAAAAAGAGTCCAGTTCCAGAGGTAGTACTCTGATGCAATGGTAGAAATTTTAAGAAGGCAAAATTTAGCCTCAGTATATCAGGATAATTTTTGTAACACTAAGAGTGTACAAAAATAGACAACCTAATTTTTGATGATGCAGGCTCCTTGTCAGTGCTGGTGCTCAAAGGTGGAGAGACCAGATGCTGGGATGCTGAGGAAAGGATTCCTGTGAAGAGAACTTTGGGAGACAGAGCTCAGTGACTTCCAGGGTTCTTTATACTTCAATGAACCCTTGAAATTGTCTTTTTTTTTTTTTTAAGACAGACTCTCACTCTGTCACCCAGGTTGGAGTGCAGTGGCATAATCTTGGCTCACTACAACCTCCACCTCCTGGGTTCAAGTGATTCTCATGCCTCAGCTTCCTGAGTAGCTGGGATTACAGGTGTGGGCCTACAGGTGTGGGCCACCACGCCTGGCTAATTTTTATACTTTTAGTAGAGACAGGGTTTTACCATGTTGGCCAGGCTGGTCTCAAATTCCTGGCTTCAAGTGATCCACCTGCCTTGGCCTCCCAAAGTGCTGGGATTATAGGTGTGAGCCACCGAACCCAGCCATTTTTTTTTTTTTTTTTGAGACAGAATCTCGCTCTGTCAGCCAGGCTGGAGTGCAGTGGTATGATCTCGGCTCACTGCCATCTCCGTCTCCTGGGCTCAAGCAATTCTCCTGCCTCAGCCTCCCGAGTAGCTGGGATTATAGGCGTGTGCCACCAAGTCTGGCTAAATTTTTGTATTTTTAGTGGAGATGGGGTTTCACCATGTTGGCCAGGCTGGTCTCGAACTCCTGACCTCAGGTAATCCACCTGCCTCGGCCTCCCAAAGTGCTGGGATTACAGGCATGAGGCACCATGCCTGGCATTTTTTTTGGGGCGGGGGGACAGGGTCTCAATCTGTCATCCTAGCTCAGTGCAGCCTTGAACTCCTGGGCTCAAGCGATCCTCTTGCCTCAGTCTCCGGAGTAGCTAGAACTACAGCACAAACCACCACACCCAGTTAGTTTTTAAATTTTTTTGCAGAAACAGAGTCTCATTATGTTGCCCAGGCTGGTCTCAAACTCCTGATTTCAAGCCATCCTCCCCATCTTGACCTTCCAAAGAGCTGGGATTACAGGCATGAGCCACCACTGAAATTTTCTTTATTTTTTAGCAGGTCCTTTTTTTGTTTTGCAAGGCTTGTGTCACAACAGATGCATTATTTTTACTCACAAATAAGAGTATGTACTTTTGTATCTATAGAAATAAACAGTTATGCAATGTGAAATGTTTTTGTTCTGATGTCTATAATACAAGGAAATAACACTACGCAAGATTATTAAGGTTAAAAAATGGTTTGTTTGCTTACCTTTGCTGATGAAACAATTTGCTTGGCTTGGCGTCTTGATAAATGATCAATTGTCCTTACGAGCACTTCAGGATTTGCATTAGCTAAGTGCATTAGACTTTTGTAACCTGCACTGTATAACTGTTTTGCTCGACCCTGAAAAGTGTTACAAAAATCAGTAGGATAATAGTTTGGGATTAGAAAAAAGAAAATTAAGCACTTTACTGAAAAGAACAAAAACTGCATGTAAGAGACTGGGATAAAATAAAGTAAATATGAAGAGACAAGACATGAGAATACTGAGGAATTTTTAAAAATGCATTTGGGTGGTTCCAAACTGACTACAAGGTAACTATAGTTCTATGCAGCTTGAGTCAACTGATGTGTGCTGCAATCAAGAAAAGAAACCCACTTAGGTTGGTGGCATCATCTCATATCCTCAAGTAAAATGTTCTAGTCCAGTATCTTTCTTTCTTTCTTCTTTTTCTTTTCTTTTCTTTTTTTTTTTTTTGAGAAAGAGTCTTGCTCTGTTGCCCAGGCTGGAGTGCAATGGTGCGATCTTGGCTTATGGCAACCTGCACCACTCACGTTCACAAAATTTTCTTGCCTCAGCCTCCCAAGTAGCTGGGATTACAGGCGCACGACACCATACTTGGCTAATTTTTGTATTTTTAGTAAAGATGGGGTTTCACCATGTGGGCCAGGTTGGTTTTGAACTCCTGACCTCAATTGATCCACCCACCTTGGCCTCCCAAAGTGCTGTGATTGCAGCATGAGCCACATCATCAGGCCAAGTCCAATATCTTTCAGTGTTCTCACCATCTACTCAGGGGACCACTGGTGTCTCTCTCTGTGTGTGTGCGTGTGTCCTAAGCAGAACTCCTCTGACTCAAGAACTGAATAACAGAGAATAAACTGAAGTTGAGGGTTGGCTGAAAATAGAAAGCTGGAAAACCAGTTGCGAACCCTTTCTTCTTACTCTCTTAGAAAAAATACAAATGACCCTTTCTGCCACTGAATCACCATTATCTTAAACAAGCACTGAGTCCAAACTGACAGAAGGTAATTCTTCAAAGGAGTGGAGGAAGGAAGAAGTGTTAAGGACAACCGGTAGCACAACATACTTGGAGACAGTCACTCCCACCCTTCCTGTTATGTTTTTTTTTTCACAACTGAGATTTTTCATCAGGTATGCCATCTAGTAACAGCGGATTTCTGGAAGGCCATAACAGCTATTTGTTTTAAATAAAAGATTCCCATGACAAATGAGCAATTAAGGCTCTTGCTATCACTTCCTCTGTATTAAGACTTCAGAAAATAATAAAACCTGGCTTCTGTATTAATTCAACATAATTTCAATTGGGAAACCAACAAGCTACTGACCTCTAAAACTCCAGTAACTTCCATGAGAGGGATTAATTCTGCCTTTACACAGTAAGTCAGCTTCTTGGTAAGTTCTACCAAAAGGGCTCTGTAAACCCAAAACTCCTCAAGCTCCTGTAGAACACAAAGAAATATATAAAATTTAAATTTTGTAAGTTATTTCAAAGTTTGGTTTGTGTGATAGGGGGCTCAGAGAGAATGTTCCTTACATAAGTTCTGGAACTTGAGTTAAGCCAGAGATGAAAGATGATTCTAAGCAAAACAGATGTGAAGAAACATGGGGAGGACCCTGAGGAATTTGAGGAACTGGTTTTAGGATGAGGAAAAGATTGAAAATTGAAAAATAAGTCAATAAAAAGAGTTCTGGTCATTTTAATCAAAATACCTGGAAGAAAATGCATAGTTTTTCTTTCCCAAGTGACTAAAAACAATTCCTACATCTGGAATTTATCTGGAAGATGAATATTAAATATGGAAATATTCAAATGTAACATGATGTTCAATGCAACAATACAATAATAAAAATACTGGAAGCCATGAGTCAATAACTGTTAAAGCTAGAAGGGTAAATGGGAATTCAATATAATATTTTGTCATAGATATTTGCAATATTCTATTATAGTAGTTTATTTTATTTTAAAGTTCCCTTTCTAGCCTTTGGATATCACTGTGAATGTACATGATGAATGGAACAGCATTAGCTAGCCATCTTGTGACTACTAAGAAAGAAATCAACGTAATGAAGATGGCAGAGTAAAAAGAAGAAAACCTTGAACAGAACTATTGAATCAATCAATCCTGAAGCTGCCTTAGTTCTGGCATGCCTGTTATATAAAATAATTATTTTTTCTTATTGTTTAAACCTTGATGGGTTTTTCTGTAACTTGTAGTTAAAAGCATCTTAACTAACACAATTAATGTACCATTTCATACCATTTATAACTTTTTAAAATAAAAAATACCTTAAAACAAGCTTGTCCAACCTGTGGCCCACAGGCCACATGCGGCCCAGGATGGCTTTGAATGTCACCCAAAACAAATTGGTAAACTTTCTTACAACACCATGAGATTTTTTTTTTTTTTTTTTTCTAGCTCATAAGCTATTGTTAGTGTATTTTATGTGTGGCTCAAGACGATTCTTCTTCCAATGTGGCCCAGGGAAGCCAAAAGATTGAACACCCCTGCCTTGAAATATTGAAAGTAGACCAGGTGTGGTGGCTCATGCCTGTAATCCCAGCACTCTGGGAGGCCAAGGTGGGAGGACTGCTTGAGTCCAGGAGTTTGAGGCCAGCCTGGGCAACACAGCAAGATCCCTGCCTCTATTGATAATAATTTGAAAAATTATATACATGTAATATATATCATATAATTATATATTTATATTATATGTAATTATATAATTATGATATATATAAATGAAGTAAATTAATTAGAGTACAAATTGTCAGCTAGATTTTTCTTAGGATTAGTCATCAAATTATTGCTGTTTTTCTTGATGCTTCATAGAGTTTTTTACTTAAACAATTCTATAAGGCTCAAGTCCTCATAGTCGCAATGAAAACAAAGGGAAAAAATATTAGGGAAAGCATCTTTAAATATACAAAACAACAAATATAGAAGACTTAAGAAAATACATTTTAAAGGCTAGCTTCTTCTTATTACCCATAATTTTTGTCTTCTGTTTAACTAGCATGTGCTCAGGGGGTATAAACCAACATTTAAAAATCAGCACAAGTAAAAGATATTTAGAAAGCTAAATTTGTTAAAATAATTATCATTCAATTGAAAGCCAAGTATTTTTGAATTATTTACTCCTTTCATTAGCACATATGATAGAATTAATTGCCATATACATATACAGAATATGAAGGTTTAAGAAAGGGAAAATGAAGTAAATTTTAAATTTAGAAAACAATTCATGGGAAAAAAGTTTTAGAAAATTGACTTGGAAACAAATATGGAAAGGATTATTATGCCACCCAATAAGAAGAAATCTAAATGCAGCAAAAATGGCTTATATTATAAACACATAAAAAAAGTATCTGGATGTAAAAGCCTGGTAAGCTTTATTGTGCTATTTAAAGGAATTCTGAAAGCTTATTTTAATAAAGTCTTAAATCCATCACAAATGCATATGACCAGTATAAGGTTTCCTTCTTAAATTGTTCTATAAAATACACATTTGATGTAAAAGCTTTAAATAGCTGCCTGACACTGGAAGCAAATATACTAAATTACAGTGGCAATCAAGAGAATATGGGCCAGGCGTGGCGGCTCATGCCTGTAATCCCAGCACTTTGGAAGGGCAACCTGGAGGATCGCTTCAGCCTGAAGTTCAAGACCAGGCTGGGCATCATAGTGAGACCCCCCACCCCCGCCCACCCTTTGCACAAAAAAAATTTAAAAAATTGGTTGGGCGCTGTGGCTCATGCCTGTAATCCCAACACTTTGCGAAGCCCAGGCAGGTGGATCACTTGAGGTCCGGAGTTCGAGATCAGCCTGGCCAATATGGTGAAACCCTATCTCTACTAAAAATACATAAGTTAACTGGGAGTGGTGTTGTGTGACTATAATCCCAGCTACTCTAGAGGTTGAGGCAGGAGAATTGCATGAACTCGGGAGGCGGGGGTTGCAGTTAGCTAAGATTGCGCCACTGTACTCCAGCCTGAGACTCCATCTCAAAAAAACAAAAAAAATTAGCCAGGTGTGGTGGCACATGTCTGTGATCCCAGCTACTCAGGAGGCTGAGGCAGAAGGACTGCCTGAGCTCTGGAGGTCAAAGCTGCAGTGAGCCTGGATTACACCACTACACTCCAGCCTGGGCGTCAGAGTGAGACCCAAGTAGCTGGGACCACAGGCGTGTGCCACCACGCCTGGCTAATTTTTCTTATTTTTTGTAGAGATGGAGTTTTCCCACATTGCTCAAGCAGCTGATCTCGAACTCCTGGGCTCAAGTGATCCACCTGCCTCAGCCTCCCAAAGTGCTAGGATTACAGGCGGGAGCCATGGCATCCAGTCAAAATTAAATTTTTTTAAAAAGAGAATATGGTACTAAATAGTCACATGGTAGCTGTTGGATATAGGTAACTTTCTAACCAAACACCTGACATTTTTATTACTCAGGTGAAAGACATTCACATGGAATCTACATCAATAGGTTGTTTTTAACAGTTAATTCTGAATACCTGAAACTATTAATGGTGGCTTTAAGAGTTGGGTCAAAAAGACACTTTTCATTATGTGTTTTAGTTGACTCAGGAATTTTTGTATTGTTACCATAAGTACATAATAGTAGTTTCATAAACAGATAAAAACAAACGTACATTTTAAATAGTTTTTTAGTGCTCTGTAATAACAGAATATGTCAACAAGGAGAAAATGCTGACATACTGACTAACTGGCTTATTAGTTTAGTAACAGTTAAAACCAGAAGATGCACAAAGTACATATCATATATTCAATGAAATTACCTCACAGAAATGTAACACACAAGATGAGAATGAGGCAGTTCCAGTGAGAAGATTTTGTATATATCCTCGAGGCATATTAAATTTTTCAGATACAGTCCAAATGTTGGTCTCTTTGAGCAAGGTATAAAGAACAAAAGACAGATATAGCCTGTTGACAACGTTCTTGTCCACCTTCTAGAAAGACACAATCAAATAAATTCGTTTACTAGACCTGCTAAAAATGTATGTTATTAAAATTGGACAAAAGGAAAACTGAAGTTGTATTACAGAATAGCAAGGATAGAATAATTCCATAGAAACAAAACTAATTTCTAACAGATGTACTTCAGATTAATTAAAATTTATTATCATTTTTCCAACTACAATAAAAAGATAAGGCCAGGCAGAGTGGCTCATGCCTGTAATCCCAGCACTTTGGGAGGCTGTGGCAGATGGATCACAAGAGCCCAGGAGTTTGAGATCAGCCTGGACAACGTGGCAAAACTCCGTCTCCACAAAAAAACAAACAAAAAACGTGGCCGGGTGTGGTGGCGCGCACCTGTAGTCCTGGCTACTTGGGAGGCTGAGGGATCACTTGAGCCCAGGAGACAGAGGTTGCAGGGAGCCGAGATAGCACCACTGCACTCAGCCTGGGAGACAGAGTGAGACCCTGTCTCAAAAAAATAAAAATAAAAATAAATAAAAGTTAAAAGATAAACCAAATTATTTCCAATCTAAATTAAACTTCCTTCTACAGGGAAGGAATTGTACCCCCTCTCCATCACTCCACAAAAAGAAATGTACAAATCCTAACCCCTGGTACCTGTGAATGTGATCTTACTTGGAAACAAGATATTTGCAGATACAATCAGTTAAGGATCTCTAGGTGAAATCACCCTGGATTTACAGTAGGCTCTAAATTCAATGATTAGTGTCCTTATAAGAGGAGAAGACACAGAGAGACACAGAGAAGGCAGCAATGTGAAGATGGAGGCTGAGATTGGAGGGATGCATCTATAAGCCAAGGAACACCAAGGACTGCCAGTAACCATCAGAAGCTAGGAAAGAGGCACGGATGGCTTTTTCCTCAGAGGCTCCTGAAGGAATCAACATTGCTAATACCTTGATTTTGGACTTTTGGTCTCCTGAACTGTGGGAGAATAAATTTCTGTTGTTTTAAGCCACCCATTTGTGGTAATTTGTTATGGCGGTTGTAGAAAATGAATACAGGAAAGGAAGGAATTGGTGAGAGAGACTTTTACAGTTAGTTGGTATTTGTAAATTGTGTACGTATGTGATTATTATTATAAATTAGACAAATGTACTTTAGATAAATATGTTAATAAGCTTGTCTATATTATAAACTAAGAGTAAATATTAGATCCTATGATTTCCACATGGTCCAAGCTAAAACACCTGAAAGAGATTGAAAAATGCTTCCTGTAGTTGATGATTTCGATTCTGTATACCTGCTTTGGCCTGTGGTGCCTGATGACCACATTTGTGCATAAAGGATTTCATAGCTAGCTTAGAAACTAATCAATTCTTAAAATTGAGGGCAAAAAGATGAACTTAAAAAAGAAAAAGTAGGTATAAAAAATAAAATAGAGGTTGGGAGTGGTAGCTCACACCTGTAATCCCAGCACTTTGGAAGGCTGAGGCAGGAGGATCTCTTAAGTTCAGGAGTTCAAGACCAGCTTGGGCAACATGGTGAAAACCTGTCTCTATTTTAAAAAAAACTGTAAAATAATAAAAAATAAAATAAAATATAAAATTATATCCTCCACCATAGTAAAAGAATGAAATGAGAACTTACGGTGACAAATTGAAGGATGTATGAGTTACATATTCTGCATGTTGATACTGGATCACTTTTTTAAAAGCATTAAGCTGAAAAAGTATGACAGCTGAACATCAAGTAGGAAAAGAGAGCTATTTAATTTCCCAATTTTAGTGCATCTTCAGTACTAACTATAAATTGAGTCAATGTAGGTTTTTTCTTAGAATGTATTTCCTAAGCCAAGAAAAATGATATAATTATTATATGGCAAAATACAATGCTTTATGCCAATGTCAAGATCTTTTGTGGCAGGGCACGGTGGCTCACGCTTGTAATCCCAGCACTTTTGGAGGTTGAGGTAGGCGTATCACCTGAGGTCAGGAGTTTAAGATCAGCCTGGCCAACATGGTGAAACTCCATCTCTACTAAAAATACAAAAATTAGCTGTATATGATGGCGGGCACCTGCAATCCCAGCTACTTGGGAGGCTAAGGCAGGAAAATCACTTGAACTTGGGAGGCGGAGGTTGCAGTGAGCTGAGATCGTGCCATTGCACTGCAGCCTGGAGCCTGGGCGACAAGAGCGAGACTCTGTATCAAAAAAAAAAAAAATCTTTTGCAAGAAATCAAGAATGTTCAAAAAAGGTCAGGTGGGGGGCCTCTTTTTCAATGTGGAGAAATCAATTAGATTTTAAGTATTTAAATATGTTCTCCAGAGTTTTAAAAAATTATACCTCCAAAACATTAAACTAGTAATTAATCCATTTGTAATTAAGATAAGTTCATGTCCATACTATTTTAAATATGTATCAATTTGGCAAATATTTGTTGACTATATTACATTAAATGTAACAAAAATAAATTCTGGATTCAAGCTTAAAAAGATATATTATTCTAATAAGATTTTTGCATGTTTATTATTATTTGATAATTAGTTCCAAATTAATGATATTGTTTTTATTTTACATTTCAGAGTTTGATATAAAAGGTTTGTTTTAAGAAATATTTTTATTCAGCATTTTGAAGGTCTAAACAGCATAGCCATTTCCAAAGTAAAAGACCCAATCTAAAAATTGTGATAACATGAATGCTTAAGTACTACAGATACTTTTATTTTTATTTTTGAGACAGGGTCTCACTATGTTGCCCATGCTATCCTGAAACTCCTGAGTACAAGCAAATCCTTTGCCTCAGCTTCCTGAGAAGCTAGGAGTACAGGTGTGTGCCACTGTGCTGGGCTCATGGAATTTTTTTTTGAGACAGAGTCTTGCTCTGTCACCCAAGCTGGAGTGCAGTGGTGTGATCTCAGCTTACTGCAACCTCTGCCTCCCAGATCACGTGAGTCTCCTGCCTCAGCCTCCTGAGTAGCTGGGATTACAGGTGCCCACCACCACACATAGCTAATTTTTGTATTTTTAGTGGAGATAGGGTTTCACCATGTTGGTCAGGCTGGTCTTGAACTCCTGACCTCATGGTCGCCCACCTCGGCCTCCCAAAGTGCTGGGATTACAGGCATGAGCCACTGTGCCGGGCCCAATATTTTTGATTTTATGACACAGTGATGCATGGGACACTGCACCATCAATTTAAGTGTATGTAAACATCATCTTCCATTTTACAAAATGAAATCTGTACTGTCTATGTAAATTTAAAAGGTATAGAGGAGGTTGGGTGTGGTGGCTCCCAACCTGAGAGCCACCTGTAATCCCAATGCTTTGGGAGAACGAGGCGGGTGGATCACCTGAGGTCAGGAGTTTGAGACCAGCCTGGCCAACATGGTGAAACCCTGTCTCTCCTAAAAATACAAAAATTAGCTAGGCGTGGTGGCAGGCGCCTGTAATCCCAGTGACTCAGGAGGCTGAGGCAGGAGAATTGCTTGAACCTGGAAGGTGGAGGTGTCAGTGACCCAAGATCATGCCACTGCATTCCAGCCTGGGCGACAGAGTGAGACTGCACCTCAAAAAAAAAAAAAAAAAAGGTGTGGGGGAAAATGGAAGGTAACTAGGTTTCAATGTAAATTGGATTGCCAAATAAAATTTAAAATGAAAAAAAAAAGTGTATTACAAGGGGGAAAATAACATTCTCTTAAGGAAATCGAAGGTATGGTTATGAAAGAATTACTTCAATTTCTCTTAAAGTTAGTGTATGCATTTGATAACTTGCTTCATGCCTGCAGACTGAATTTTAAAACACCAAAATATATCACACCAACGAGTATTAGCTTATCCCCTTTAACCTTCTAAAATGCTTTATGTAATATAAGTACTAGACTAGGAGTTCTTTGAGGATGACAAAAGCAGTAACAAAAAACCCAGACCTGTCCTATCTTAGAATCCTTGATACCAAATAGAAAGCCTAATATAGTTTCTAGAAAATGTATTTCCTCGTTTGAATTGAACTTATATCAGGATTGTGTAATATTATGAAAACATTTCATGCTACCCAAAAAAAGGTCATCACACTACCCAGAAATAAATGTTGTTTAAAAATATTCATACATTTTGGGTGCTCAGGTATGTTTTAAGTAGTAAAATGAACGTTATACTAATTTAAAGGAAAAAATGTAAACCAAAAAAGATCAATATAATGGTACTAATTTTGTTGAGTGAACTTAGTGAGTGAACTAAGTGTTGAGTGAACTTATTATTTAGGAAGAAAAAAAGAATGTGGTACCTTTCCGATGGCTTGGCCTGATGCTTTCTTCCCAATAAAGCTTTCAGAGACTCCAAGAATGGCAGCTACATTTTGTTCTGCTGGACTGAGTTGGCTAAACTACATGGAAAAAGAGCAAATAGATGGAAACATCAAAAAATCTGTCATGTGAACCAAATCCAGTATTTCTTTTGATATCACATTCTCATGATTCAGGATACAAAAAACAAGATAAATATATTTGTAAATGTTGCAGGTTTTAAAGTTACATCATTAGGATATAACAAGGATATAACACACTTTAGAATTACTTAAAGGCATAGCCACAAGTACTGGTTTCCATGGACTATATGACTATATTTAATACCAGATGGCTGAGGGGAAGGAGAAGGAAAGGTTTGAGAGTAATTGCATTATATAGTGCTACTTAAAAAAAACTTACTTCCTGAGTAATGTAAACTCAGGAAGTTGAGAAGAGATGGAGAAAAGAAAAAAAAACAGTAATGATTTAAAAATATGACATTAAAAAGAAAGCTAATTTCCTGTGATTAAAAGATGTATACTACCTCTGTCTAATATACGTTTTTGTTTCTGTTTTTGTTTTTTTTTTTGAGACAGTCTCATTCTGTCACCCAGGCTGGAGTGCAGTGGCATGATCTCAGCTTACTGCAACCTCCGCCTCCTGGGTTCAAGCGATTCTACTGCCTCAGCCTCCTGAGTAGCTGGGACTACTGGTGTGCGCCACCATGACCAACTAATTTCTGTATTCTTTTAGAAGAGACGGGGTTTCACCGTGTTGCCCAGGCTGGTCTCAAACTCCAGACCTCAAGTGATCCTCCCACCTTGGCCTCCCAAAGTGCTGGGATTACAGGCATGAGCCACCACATGCAGCCCTAATATACATTTATACAGCTAGCCTGTTCACAGTAAAATCATAATATACTGTATGTTACCACTTGGCTTTATAATAAGTATGGACAGTTCTACTTTGTGATGGGTTGTAAAATAAATATTCCTTTTCAGTTATTAACGTCATTGGGTTTAATGTATTATCATACTTGGCTCTGACCGAGCTTTCATGTAATTAAACTCTAAATCATCAGAGATGGTTTTCACTGTTTTCTTTGCATTCTAGGCATTATCAAATGCAGTGATCATAACAGTAACTTTCTGTGGGGAAATAGGACCACGGATAATCTTTTTTTCTTTTTTTTAACCTTTACTTTTTTCAATAACAAATATGTTTATATTTAAGAGAAAAGTAACATTAAAGTTAAACGAACCATAAATGCTGTTGCCAGATTATAATTTTTAAAAACTGAAAGAAAAAAATATCCAATTCCAAATATATTTTAATAGAGAAAAAAAGTGAATAATCACTTCATAAAAAGCATATAATAGGCCGGGTACAGTGGCTTACACTTGTAATCCTAGCACTTTGGGAGGACAATGTGGGAAGACTGCTTGAGCCTAGGAGTTTGAGACCAGCCTGGGCAACATGGCAAAGCCTCATCTCTAAAAAACAAAACAAAACAGCATGTAATAATTCATAAACGAAGTAGCCTAAGTTGAAAAACGTTATATTCTCACCTGCCTGAAGTATATCATCCAATCAGGGTTACACTGTGAAACCAGATCATAGGGGGTTGTTAGGTAGATTAGATGAAGAAGGCTTTCAAGCACAAGTCCTTCAAGACCTTTCTTCAAGTCTCTGTACAGAATGTCACAATAAGCTAAATCTATAGTTCCTAAAAGAAAGATACAAATATTCAATCTTTCACAATTACCAGAGGGGCAAAGAGATGGCTTTAAATATTGTGTAGAAATTGCTTAAATATAGCAAAAAGTCTTCAAAATCTCTTATAACATCTTACTATATAACTATTTTGGAGGTCATTTTGATAGTACTCATCAACACTTTATAAGTACATACCTTCTGAACCAACTATTTTGGGGAATCTAATCCAGAGAAACATTTCCATATGTACCCCAAAATACATAGAGATGTCCATGCGCCTTGTTTATAACAGAGAAAAATAAAAAAGAATGCAAGTGTCCATCAACATCGAATGGTTAAATAAATTATGGTACATCCATACTATAGATGACTGTAGTATTAAAAGAAAAATGAGATAGATTTAAAGAGACTCATCTGTTAAGATGTTCATGATATCTTATGAGAAATGTAATTTGGAAAAAAATATTTAAATGATCATTCCATTTGAAAAATAAATACACACATAAAAATATTTGGAAGAATACATATCAAACTGGTAGTAGTAGCTCCTGAAATGGGACAGGAATATGGCACTTTCCTTAACATAATTCTGAGTTCTTAGGTTTTTTTTTTTTAACAACAGACATGTATTATTTTTCATTAAAAAAAAGCCTCAGCCTGGGCACCATCGTGAAACCCCATCTCCACTAAAAATACAAAAATTAGTCAGGCATGGTGACATGCCCCTGTAGTCCCAGCTACTTGCGGGGCTGAGGTGGGAGAATCATTTGAGCCCAGGAGACGAAGGTTGCAGCGAGCTGAGATTGCGCCACTGCATTTTGGCCTCGGCAGCAGAGCAAGACCCTGTCAAAAACAAGCAAACAAACAAACCAACCAAAACAACCCCCACAACACTTTATTCACTGTCATGAAACAATCTCTAAGACATTATATTCAGGAAAAAAAGCAAGTTGCAGGCCAAATGTGTTGTCTCATGCCTGTAATCTCAGCACTTTGGGAGGCAGGAGGATTACTTTAGGTGAGAAGTTTGAGACCACCCTGGCAAACATAGCGAGATTTTGCCTCCATATTTAAAAAAAGAAAAAAAATTTTTTTAATTTATAAAAAGTTTCAGAATAATATAAATGATTATTTGTTTAAAGACAAAAACTTAAAACTGTACATATGTACATATTATGCACTGAAATGAAATGTACAGTAAAGGTCTGGAAAGATATACACCAAATTGTTATTCTTGGTAGAATATTAAGATTTGTATGGTTGCTAGGAGGGAAGCATGAAGGAGGGATGCCTACCTTATTCTCTATATACTTCTGCAGTACTTATAATTCAAAACATTTTTCAACTTTTGAAAGTTGAAGGAGTTATCAGCTTATAAAATAAGATTAATGTAATTAATATAAAATTATAAATACAACTTAAAGAAAGTATAATTTTTTATTTTTTTATTTTTGAGATGGAGTCTCGGCTCTGTTGCCCAGCCTGGAGTGCAGTGGTGTGATCTCGACTCACTGCAACCTCTGCCTCCCAGGTTCAAACAATTCCTGTGCCTCAGCCTCCCGAGTAGCTGGGACTACAGGCATGTATCACCATGCCTGGCTAATTTTTTTTGTATTTTAGTAGAGACAGGGTTTTACTATATTGGCCAGGCTGGTCTCAAACTCCCAACCTCAAGTGATCCGCTCCCCTTGGCCTCCCAGAGTGTTGGGATTACAGGCGTGAGCCACTGTGCCCAGCTTAAAGAAAGTATAATTTAATTTTCATTTTTTCCAATGTGTTTCCTATGATCAATAAGATTTAGGTAAACTCTTACCCTTAAATGAAGCACGTCCCAACTTTGTAATATGAAAATTATATTGGACCTCTTCTTCAGACTTATAAATAGTGTCTTTTTGTAGGAGTCCTTTTTCTGTCAGGTATCTAAGTGATTCAACAGTTATTTCCCAGAGACTTTTTTCTTTCAATAAAACCTTTTGCTGAACACCAAAAAATGTACCATTCATGAAATGATAGATGTCATCAAGATTCGTTGCAATCTGAAACAATTCAGGATATCATTGGAGCATTTTCCTTAATTCAAGGCATCACCTTGAATGCATATTAATCAAGATAACTCATTTCCATACCTCAAAGCTATTTAAATAAAAAATTAGTATTAAATCTACACAGTTGCATATATAAATTTATAATGGCAATTAAAAATTAACAAAAAATTTAGGGGGATGATAGTTATTATATTCATGCTTTTTATGAAAACATGTACTCATTTTTCATTCCAAAACTCCTTTGGATAGATCTTTAAATAATTTTTCACAATATCTCCAGAACTGTGCTATTTACTCCCCAACCAATTTTCACTAATTCTCACTCAGCCTCCTTTAGGGATCTTCCCTGCACTGCATTCCACCCAACTGTAAAAACATCCTTTAGCTCTAAAAGTTGCATTAAAAAAAAAAAAAGGAAAATACAACAGTTTCTGGGTGCAGCACACCAACATGGCACATGTATACATATGTAACAAACCTGCACATTGTGCACATGTACCCTAGAACTTAAAGTATAATAAAAAAAAAACAAAAAACAAAATAAATTAAAAAAAGAACTGAAAAAAAAAATACAAGTTTCCACTAAAACAGCGTCAGACAATATTTTGCCTAAAATGTTACCTAAAAATAGTTGATCTCTACCTATTTTTGTCTCTCTCATTCCTATCTCCATTTCTTGTTCTTTCACTGTTATTCACTATTTATAACTTACAATGGCAATCATAAGGAATACTTAACCCTCCATTTAGTATTCAGATGTAGAGCTGACTCTGAATTAGAATAATTTTTATTAGCCAATTTCAATGAAATCAGCATGTTATACTAAAATATAGTCAATCAATAAGTATATTTCTCTCTCTTACAATTCTGATGCTATTTCAACTGGAAAATTTAAGTCGTAATTTCATATTAAACCAATATAAGGGGTAAGAAAAATATAATGGAGCACAGACATTTTCTATTGCTTCTTCCCACTTTAATAAAAATCATTATTAATATAGTATTCAATTAAGCTAAAATTATACTTTTAAGATATTTAAGAACTGATACTTGGTTTTTGGATTATTAATGTACTTTGTTTTTGTACTGTTTCCTACCTAAATGATTAGAGTTAACACTGGGGGTGGAAGAGTGCAGGGGGGCAGGGGAACCTTTACTTGATCCCTCTATCTACCATCATGTTATCTTTCTATTCCTCCCTGAAAAAGTTTTTGACATAGTAATTGAAACCCACTGGGCCAGCCTCTGCTTCTGGCTTCTCAAATCCAGATTCTCCACTGATGCCCCAACTTGGAAGTTCACCCACGCTCAGTTCCAAAGTTAATTTCATCACCATGTCCCAGATTAAAGAAAAAACAAACAAACAAACAAACAAAACAGGCCAGGCGCAGTGGCTCATGCCTATAATCCTAGCACTTTGGGAGGCTAAGGTGGGAGGACTGTTGAGGACAAGAGTTCAAGACCAATCTAACCAACATAGCAAGACCCCATCTCTAAGAAAAAAAAAAGCCAATTTCATTAATTCAAGTATTTATTAAGTGCCAACCACTTGCCAAGCATTAGGATTCAGTGATCTTTTTTTTTTTGAGATGGGGTCTTGCTATGTTGCCCAGGCTGGTCTTGAACTCCTGGGCTCAAACGATCCTCCTGTCTCAGCCTCCCTAAGAGGTGGGATCACAGGTGTGAGCTACTGCACCTAACCATTCCATGATCTTTTAAAAATTATTTACATTAATCACTGAAGGGGATGAGAAAACAAAATTAAAAAGAAAAAAATTAAAAGAAAAAATTATTAAATAAAAAATTAGTATAAAATCTACACAGTTGCATATATAAAGTTATTGCATAACTTTTTAACCTCTATTGTCTCAGATAACAGTAATAAGATAAAAAATTTAAGAAAAATACCTTCAAACCAATCAAAGAGAGAAATAATGTTTGGATTCCCTTGGTGAATTCCTGAACAAGATGGCTGTAACAGTTTTCCAATGGTTTAGTTATTAACTCCAATACCTATAAAGGTTAAAGCAAAACCATGCCTTGTGTTATTATTAAAAATAAATGGTATTTAATATAAATATTTTATACTTTACATAAATCTTGTGGAGCCAGAAGGAGACCAAAAAAGTAAAGACAAAAGAATTTAACATTTATCTTCATTAAAAATGGAAGAAAAACAAATAGGAAAAATATTTTTTCATTGTCTGAAATACATACATTTTCAAACCACTCTAATTCTTAATCATATAGGAAAGAAAGCATCATTTAAAGAAAATTAATAATTAATTTTTAAAAGATGATTTCATAAAAGGGCTAGACCAACAACCAAGAAAAAGACAAAAACAACCAACCAACCAAATTGAGTATTACCTGTTGTTTGTCTTTTTCTTGCAATATGAGGATACTCTCCCCAATAGTATCTATTCCAGCACGACCAGCTCTGCCAATCATCTGTTTATATTGATTCCTCTTTAAAAATTCCTTAGCAACATAGGGAGCTCTTAAAATAACTCTGTGGAATTAATGAAAAATGATACTCTACAGCAAACAGCACCAATTTAAAAAATTCTTAATTTCATTATATATTTGTGATATTAAATTTAATGACATACTAACACAAAATAATAGGTAACTAGTGTTTACCAAGAATCTATGATTTCTTAGGTTTTTACACATATTATCTATAATTCTTACAAAACTCTTAGTTATAATATACTTTTTTATTTCATTTTTATAAAGGAATTAATTACAACTCAGTTAACTGACTTATCCTAAACTAAAAAATTAGTAATTACCAGAGCTATCATTTGAACTCAAGTCTGCCCAGCTGCAATGCCTATGATCAATCTGTAGCAGTAGTCTCCAAAGCGTTTGGACTTTATACTCCATAAATAAAAAATATGACCATACACCACTAACATATACATATCTATTTATGAATTTTTATTATTTTGAACTGTATAAAATTGCAGATGTCAACTGTTTTTGACCTACAAAAATGGTGATTTCAGCCAGGCTCAGTGGCTCATGCCTGTAATCCCAGCACTTTGGAGGGCTGATGTGGGAGGTTTGCTTGAGTCCAGGAGTTTGAGACCAGCTTGGGCAATATAGTGAGATGCAGTCTCTACAAAAACAACAACAACAACAACAAAAAACTGGCTGGGCATGGTAGTGTGCCCCTGTAGTCCCAGATACTTGGGAGGCTAAGGTGGGAGGATCACTTGAGCCTAGGAGGTTGAGGCTGCAGTAAATCGTGATTACATCACTGCACTCCAGCCTGGGCAACAGAGTGAAACCCCATCTCTTAAAAAAAAAAAGCAATTTCAATTATGTTCATATATACAGAAGTCTATAGTCAGTTAGTCAGCTTTCTTATCCAAAGGGAAGAAAAAACCTATTGTTTACCTATACTAGTCAACTTCCTCTTTATTTATAAATCTCATATGCAGAAAAGATTACCAAATACTTGAAGAAAACTAATAACATAAAAGAAACATAACATGAATATACAGAATAAGTGACCACAAAACCAGATAATATAGGGATCAGAAGAGAACTTTTAAAAATCCTAATTAGCATTAACAGAAAATTCCAAAGAGTATTATATCCACAATATAAGAGTAGACTATTGGCGGGGCGTGGTGGCTCACGCCTGTAATCCCAGCACTTTGAGAGGCTGAGGGGGGCGGATCACGAGGTCAGGAGATGGAGACCATCCTGGCTAACACAGTGAAACCCCGTCTCTACTAAAAATAAAAAAATTAGCTGGTCGTGGTGGCAGGCGCCTGTAGTCCCAGCTACTCAGGAGGCTGAGGCAGGAGACTGGTGTGAACCCAGGAGGCGGAGCTTGCAGTGAGCGGAGATTGCGCCACTGCACTCCAGCCTGGGTGACAGAGCGAGACTCCGTCTCAAAAAAAAAAAAAAAAAAAAAAGGAGTAGACTATTGGCCGTGTGTGGTAGCTCATGCCTGTAAATCCCAGCACTTTGGAAGGCGAAGGCAGGAGGATCACGAGGTCAATAGATTAAGACCACCCTGGCCAACATGGTGAAACCCCGTCTCTACTAAAAACACAAAAACTAAAAAACATTGTGTTGTGTGCCTGTAATCCCAGCTACTTGGGAGGCTGAGGCAGGAGAATCACTTGAACCCGGGAGGCAGAGGTTGCAGTGAGCAGATATCATGCCACTGCACTCCAACCTGGAGACAAAGCGAGACTCTGTCTCAAAAAAAAAAAAAAAAGGAGTAGACTATTATAAGGAAAGAACAACAAAAGAGAGTTCTTAGAAATAAAAAAAAATTAACTTTATTTAAAAATTCATAAAAAATTTGAAGGGCCAGGTGTGGTGGCTCACACCTGTCAATCTAGCACTTCGGGAGGCCACGGTGGGCAGATCACCTGAGGTCAGGAGTTTGAGACCAGCCTGGCCAACATGGCGAAACCCCGACTCTACTAAAAATATAAAAATTAGCCAGGTGTGGTGGTGGGCGCCTGTAATCCCAGCTACTTGGGAGGCTGAGGCAGGAGAATCGCTTGAACCCAGGAGACAGAGGTTGCAGTGAGCCGAGACCGCACCACTGCACTCCAGCCTGGCCACTGGGCAACAGAGTAAGACTCTGTCTCACAAAAAAGAAAATTCAATTGAAGAACTGAATAATGAATGAAAATAGTTAATGGATACAGTTAATGTAGTTAATGGATATCAGTTAAAAACTCATTTTTTTTTTTGAGACAGGGTCTCACTGTTGCCCAGGCTGGAGTGCAGTGGTACAATCATAGCTAACTGCAGCCTCGATGTCCTGGGCTCAAGCAATCTTCCCACCTCAGCCTCTCGAGCAGCTGGGATCACAAGTGTATGCCACCATGCCCAGCTAAGTTTTTAATTTTTTAGTAGAGATGAGGTCTTGCTATGTTGTCCAGACTGGTCTCAAACTCCTGGGCTCAAGCAATCCTCCTACCTTTGCCTCCCAAAGTGCTGGGATTACAAAAAAACTGATTTTTTGATATGGAAGGTAAAGTTGAAAAAAATTACATGGCACAAACGTGTGCTTACATTCTTCCACATTCTGAAAAATGTGTAAGAAAAGAGATACGAAAGCTGAATCTAAGAGGCCTCAACCCTGCCTAAGTGAAATTATAAAAGCAAGGAACAGAGATAATGGGAAGAAAAAGAAATAACAGAAAAAAAATTACTCAAAGAAGAAAGGCATAAAGCTTAGATTAAAAGCATCCACCCAAGTGCTAAGCCCTATGAATGAAAAGTAGTACTGTTGGGATTGTAAAATCAAACTTCCTGGGTTCAAACACTGGCTTTAAAACTCATTTGTTGGAAAATGAGTTGGGAAAAAGTTATGTAACTTTTTAAAGTTGGGAAAATTATTTAATTATTTAGTGCCTCAGTTTCCCCTTCTATAATAGGTGTGTAATAAAATATGACCTTCCTCACAGAGTTATTGTGAAGCTGTATCAAGTCAATGCATGTAAAGTTGTTACTACATGAAAGGGAGGGGAATGTAGTAATTACAACTATTATTATACACCATGACAAAATTGGGAGGTTAAAGAGAAAAGTCTAAAAGTTTCTGGAAAAGAAAAACAGAAAATCCATGCAGAGACAAAAATGAGCAACATTGGCCTCTAGAAAATATGGAACAATATTTACAAAATCCCTAAAGGAAAAAAATTGAATCTAGAATTCTTTTGCTAGTGAAGTGTAAAAGTGTGAGGCCAAAATACAGATATCTTCAACTATGCAAAGAGTCAAAATGTTTTACCCCCTAAAGCGGTATTCTAAAAAGGATTACTCAAGGAAGGCAAAATTAAAAAAAAAAAAATCAGAGAAGAAAGATGTGGGATATAAGAGGCAGTGGTAAGCAAAAAAGAAGTATGATTTACAGGTAAGTTTAAATACTACATAAGATGAAAGAAAATGTTTAAATCTGGCACTAAAATTCTAAGTAATTGCAACATTCATGGGGCAGAGTAGAATATACTAAGGACATGCTAAGCCTCTTTTTATGTTCAGGAGAGGACAGTTATTGATTAATTCTAAAGTAATAAAAAATGTTTGGTTACAACTTAAAATTTTAAGAGTAACCACTGGAATAATAGAAACAGGATATATAACTTTCATTTTTTTCTTCAATTGTCTGAAAAATGGAAAACTTAATGAGAGACAGAAATTGAAAATAAAAGAATGGAAAAAGGTACATACGTGGCAAAAAAAAAAAATGAGTCCTGGTATTCAAAGCAAAATTATTAAATGAGAAAAACAAGTATTTATTGTATTGATAAAAGGTATAATTCGGCAATAAGATATTTGAAGTAAACCTTTGTATATCTAAATAGTTTTGAAATATAAAAAGTAATAACTTCTAGAGATGCAAAAAGGAGAAACTGATAACTACATAATTAAAGTGGGAGACTAACACACTTCTCTGAAATTGATAGACCAAGGAATCAAATATAGTAAGAAAATAGAGAAGCCGATAACACAATGAACCTCTGTGATCTCGCTGAGATGTACAAAACTGCATATTCAACTGAAAATACATATTTTTTTAAACACTCATGGAAAGTTTATAAAAATTGATCATTTATTAGCAAAATACCCCATGATCATAAATTATAAAGGGGAGAAGTCAATTACACAGGCCTACACCTTTGGTAATAACTGGAAAGGTAATCAAGGGCCTGCTTTAAAATACATATATTAGACACAAATTGCCTATGGATCAGCTCTCCAAGATTTCAAGGAAATCTCTATGTTAAATAAACTCTTTCATATCATAAAAAAGGTAAAACACTTGCCAACTATTTCTACAAAACCAGATTAATAGACCCTAACATCAAAACCAGATATAAAGAGCAGAAAGGATGGAATTCTAATATCAAGAAATCTATTAACGTTATTTTTCATTACATATTTCATTACATATTCATTAAAATATTAAAGAAAATAAACCAACCAATCAACTCAGCATATGCTAAAAGAACATTTGATAAATTCTCATCCACTACTGAGAAAGCATAAAACAACAAAACTCCTCGCAAGCTAGAAATGGAAAAGTTCTGAGCCTGGTCAACACTTACTTATCTCTTACCTTCGAGCTGGTAGGTTGACACCTGCCGCTAGGGTAGATGTGCAGGTAAAAAGACAGAGCACTCCTGTGGAGTAGGCCTCCTCCAAGAGTTTCCTTTCATCACTTGTTAAGCCACTGTGGTGATAGGCAACTCCAAATGGGATAGTGCGCTTTAAAACAGGACACAGGTTGCCATTGCCAATATTCTTCAAGTTCTTAATCACCTCACATTTTTCTTTCTCCTTATGTTTCAGATATTCCCTATGAAAAAGATCTGTTAGAAATATGAGCCCTTGATCTTTTAGTGACAAAATTTCTACCATTTTCATTTTAGTAGATGCTAATGTAAACATTCTTTAATGTACTATTTCCATTGAGTTAAGTACATTAAATGTTCTTAGAATTTTGATTCTGACTTCATTAACTATTAGGCAGTCTCTCAATCTTTTTGTGGATTACAGAACCCTGTGAAAATCTTATCAAAACTAAGGAAAGGCGAAATGCGATGGCTCATGCCTGTAATCTCAGCACTTTGGGAGGTAGAGGCAGAAGGATTGCTTGAGCCCAAGAGTTCAAGATCAGCTTGGGCAGTGAAGCAAGACCACCTCTACAAAAAATAACAAAAATTAGCCGGGCATGGTGGTGCATGCACCTGCAGTTCCAGGCTATGGGGGAGGATGAGGTGGGATGATTGCTTGAACCCGGGAGTTTGAGGTTGCAATGAGCTATGAACCTACCAGCCTGGGTGAAAGAGCAAAGCCTTGTCTAAAAAAAAAAAAAAAAAAAAGGAAAAATATAACTATTTACATAAATACAACACTTTACATATAATTTCAGAGGGTTCGTGGATTTCCTAAAATTCATTCCTGTACTTCCTTTGAATCCATGGACACCAGGTTTAGACCTTTGCTCTGGATGTTATAACTGTTTTTTTCTTTATAACATATATCTTTATAGGGGATAGTTTTTTTAAAGACATAAATTTTCTTTTCTGAAGATGGAAACATACATATTATTAAATCATACTTCCATGGTAAAACACTGCCTAAACACTTGCACTTTAGAAACTTCACATCCTACAATGTTTCCATCACTTAGCCAGTGTCTCCATCTTATTACCTTGAATTACTCTAAGAAAATGAATGATTTACTGAGAATTTTTTTAATGATAATTTAATTTCCTTAAGCTTTTATAATCAAAATCATTGTAAAAGCAGACTGTTACCAAAATGAGCAACTCCTTCATCTTATTCCAAACATTTTTATATTTTGCTATTCAATAAATTTAAGTCTATCTTAGACCAATCCATGATAGTAGGATTGAAAGAGGAGGTAGAGGTTGACTAGATTAGCATTCAGGTTAATAGACTATGAATAGTGATACAGCATTAGCTAAGGGGCTGAAAGAAATCTCAGAAAATGATAAAACCACACATGGGACAAACAGGTGTATAAAAAACTGAACTGTTAGTAGTTAAAGTAACTTCATACTTATCTCTATGAATACGACAGAGCCAATATTAAGATACTACAAAATTATAAGACAACACATTTCTTACTCAGGAAATTATATCCAAATGTCCATACAACTAAGTGTGAAGTTTACTAAGAAAACAAAGGCAGGCCAGGCGCAGTGGCTCACGCCTGTAATTCCAGCACTTTGGGAGGCTATGGGGGGCGGATTGCTTGAGCTCAGGAGTTCGAAACCAGCCTGGGCAACATGGTGAAATACTATCTCCATGAAAATTACAAAAAATTAGTTGGGAGTGGTGGTGTGTGCCTGTAGTCCCAGCTACTTGGGAGGCTGAGGTAGGAGGATCACTTGAGCCCAGGAGACAGAGGCTGCAGTGAGCTAGCTGAATTTGTGCTACTGCATTCCAGCATAGGTGACAGAGTGAGACCCTGTCTCAGGAAAAAAAAAAAAAAAAAAGGAAAAGAGAAAAAAAGGCAATGGAAGATACAATTCATTTCCACAGTGGTAACAGTGATTAGTCCTTTGACTGACTAAGCCAGTTGTTCCTGTCCTTGGCTATATGTTGGACTTGCCTGGGGAGCTTTACAAAATGATATCTGGGTGTCACTCCCAGAGATTCTGATTTGTCTAAGATGTAGCCTGGACTTTGGAATTTTTAAAAGCCTCCAAGATGATTCACTATGCACCCAAGGTTTTGAATCACTGACCTAATATTACTTAACATTCTCATACATATAGTCTTAGGGTTTTGTCTTTTTTTTTTCCTTTTCTTTTTGAGACTGAGTCTCCCTCTGTCACCCAGGCTGGAGTGCAATGGTGTGGTCTCAGCTCACTGCAACCTCTGCCTCCCAGGTTCAAGTGATTCTCCCGCCTTAGCCTCCCGAGTAGCTAGGACTACAGGTGCACGCCACCACACCCAGCTAATTTGGTATTTTCAGTAGAGACAGGATTTCACTATGTTGGCCAGGCTGGTCTTGAACTCCTGACCTCATGATCCGCACACCTTGGCTTCCCAAAGTGCTGGGATTACAGGCATGAGCCACCGTGCCTGGTCTTCTTTTTTTTTTTTGATGGAGTCTCGCTGTGTCACGCAGGCTGGAGTGCAGTAGTGCGATCTCAGCTAACTGCAACCTCCGCCTCCCGGGTCCAACAGATTCTCATGTCTCAGCCTCCCCAGTAGCTGGGATTATAGGTGCAAGGCACCACACCCAGCTAATTTTTTGTATTTTTAGTAGAGATGGGGTTTCACCGTGTTGGCCAGGCTCGTCTCAAACTCCTGACCTCAAGTGATCCACCCACCTCGGCCTCCCAAAGTGCTGGGATTACAGGCATGAGCCATGGTGCCCAGCCACCTTAGAATGTTTCTCTGGCTATTTCACATGTGATTTTTCACAGTTAAAATTTCTTTCTTCAAGGTCAAGGCCTTCAGTATACTAAAACAACTTAATATGATGTTTTGCAAGGCATAATTAGTGTTTGCCCAATAAAATTAATACATAGTCTGTAATTCCTAATAAAAATAAAACAGGCTATTTAAAAAATATTAACATACTTGCTTAAAAATTTGCATATCATTTCTGCTACATTTTCACAGTTCTTCTTACTAGGACAAAAAACTAAGCAGGAATAATTGGGAATAACTTCTGTCACCAATGCTACCAAGTGATCAGGATCCATCTTTTTTAGGGTATCAGAATACTGCAAAACAACAAGATGTAGGAACAAAGTGGTTAGTAAACATGAAACCCTGTCAATTTTTTACCAGTGTGATTTGAAAGGTAAATAAACCATCTATAATTCTAAACTTCTAATTTAATAAATCTGATCATTTAAAAGAAAAGATGAAATCTATATTAAACATCAAAATGTTCAATCTCACTTTTCTTTTAGGTTATTATGATTTTCTTAGGTCTAGTTAGTCTAAAAAAAAACCTAGAATTAAACAAGTGAATTAAAGAAAATTAAAGAAGTGAAAATAGTTAATGTTATTAATAGCCTCACTACATGCCCATCTCCACCACAGCAGAACAAAAAAGTCCACAGAGAGAAACACAGATTGATCCTAATAATAGTTAACGGACTGTGTAAATAAGACATGCCCTTTACAACCATTAAGTTTTCAAAAACACAGATTCAATCATACTACTGAATTATGACAATTTTTGTAGTCACATGAGGAACACAAAGAACATGAAGAAAAAATGTGAAGTTATTTAAAATCTATTTCTTCAACTTTACTAAAGACATAGCTGTAGAATAACACATCTTCACAGAATTCTAAAACTACTGTATAATCCCTTCTTCCCCTTTTTAATATCCTTCATACAAGTCATAAAACACTAAAATTTACATAGTAGACATTAACATTTTATACACCAATATCTGAACTACATGGTCCATAAATTATTCTTTTGTTGTTGTTGTTGTATGAATAAACATTTACAGGAGAGTTTTCCAAATTTTCTTTGTTCACAGCCCCAGGGCCCAAAGAAATACTTTACAGTTTTGTTAATTAAATAGTGAGGTCCAAACAACTTAATAAATACGTACTTCCTCACAATTTAGTAGCTGTTAGAATAAATAATACACATCAGTTGAGTGAAAAAATATTTTTATTTCATTCTTAAATAACCACAACAGCTCACTAATGGGATGTGTGCACAACTTGGTACTGTCTTTCAAAATCTGAAATAAGACTGGACACAGCTATTCTCTTCTGTTCCAGATTGATTTTCACACGGTACTTGCTTACAGCAACTGTAAAAACCCCAACTTCACAAAGATATGATGTCATAGAAAAGAATATGGTGTGATCTAATGTTGAAACTGGAAACGAGCTATCTTGAACTGGCAGTCTGCATGGTGTCCAACAAATGTCAAGCATCAGCTGTTTCTCTGAAAAATCTAGACTATTCTACGGAATCCATTGGAAACTCTTGTTGTGCCCCAGACACAAAGTCTGGTAACCTGGAATTTAAATGTTATCAATGTTACCTTATAATTAAGAAGACGTGAAAAAGTCATGCCATTCTCAGCTTTGCTGTCAACTTCATATATTGTATCATTTATTTTCAGATATTCTTTTAACTCAACCTTGAATTAAAAGGACATTTGCAATTAATACGACATATAAATTCATCTTTCCAGTGTTTTAAATATTGTAAAATAGGTTAAGAAAGGACAGCTATAAAAGAGTTTAGCTTTTCTAAGATACATAAAACATGCTTCAACTTAAAAGTTCTTGCTTTACCATTTCTTCTTCTTCTGTTTTGGTCTCTTTTTCCCTTAAAATCAAAATAGAGATCAATATCCTTGAAGAAATATGTTTGAATTCAGTAAACATCATATCCAAAAAAGAAACCACACACTTCTGTATTTGTCACAAAAAGTGTGAGTCTTGGTGTTCTTAACTTTTACTAAGGTATCATCTGTTTTATGTCTCAAGATCTAAAACTTTGTCTTTTTTTTTTTTTTTTTTTTGAGACAGGGTCTCACTCTATCACCCAGGCTTGGAGTGCAGTAGCATGATCACAGCCCACTGCAGCCTCAACCTCCAGGGCTCATGCTATCCTCCTACCTCAGCCTCCTGAGTAGCTGGGATGACAGGCATGCGCTACCACGCCAGGCTAATTTTTATAGAGATGGGGTTCCTCTATGTTGCTGAGGCTGGTCTTGAACTCCTGGGCTCAAGCGATCCTCTTGCCACAGCCTCTCAAAGTGCTAGGATTACATGCATGAGCCACCGTGTCCAGCCAAAACTTTCTGTCTTATTATTCATCAGTTTTAATTCTAAATACCACCACACTATTTTTCTTTATTTGTCGACAAAAACAGTTTGTAAACACAGCTCATTGCATTTTATAATAACAATAACAATGTCTACTGTGGCAATTAAGTTAAAAAATATCTCTTGAAAATGTTCCTATCTGGTTCAAATGTAAAAACATCAATTTTTTTTTTTTTTTTTTTTTTTTTGAGACAGGGTCTCACTCTGTAGTCCAGGCTGGGGTGTAGCGGCACAAACACAGCTTACTGTATCCTCAACCTTCTGGGCTTAAGTGATCCTCCCATCTCACCCTCTCAAGTAGCTGGGACTATATGTGAGTGCTAATATGCTCTAATTTTTTTTTTCTCTCTCTTGCAAGGCTGGAGTGCAGTGGCGCAATCTCGGCTTGCTGCAACCTTCGCCCCACTGGGTTCAAGCGATTCTCCTGCCTCAGCCTCCAGAGTAGCTGGGACTACAGGCGTGCGTCACCATGCCCTGCTAATTTTTGTATTTTTTAGTAGAGTCGGGGTTTCACCATGTTGGCCAGGATGGTCTCGATCTCTTGACCTCGTGATCTGCCCACCTCGGCCTCCCAAAGTGCTGGGATTACAGGTGTGAGCCACCGCGCCTGGCTGCCCTAATTTTTTAATTTTTTGTAGAGACAGGGGTCTCGCCATGTTGCCCAGGCTGGTCTTGAACTCCTGGACTCAAGCAATTCTCATGCCCCGGCCTCTTAAAGTGTTGGCATTGCAGGTGTGAGCCACTGCACCCAGCTAAAACATCAAATTTCAAATTAAAATTTGGCAATTAAAAAAATATTTTCTGAAAACCTATTTAGACACTGAAAAACTATTGAGGCACAAAACATACACACTAGTAGTGCACACAAAAATATATATACATTACAAGCTATTTTCAAATAACCACAAATTACATTTGTTTACTTTCTTCAAGCATTTTGGGAATGCTGCTGTTGAGGAGTTTATATGTAAATCCATGTGAAGCCTTAACTTATTAAAAAAGTATTATAACTACTAACATATAAATATTTAAAAATATTTTAAATTTTAAGATATATTTTTTAATGTGCCAATAACTCAAAACATGTCTCACTAAAATTTTGCCAAATAAAAAAATTTAGTTTACAGAATAAGAAGTGAAAAAATAAAATGGGGGTTTGGGAAAACTCATTCAATGAACGTTCATTGACAGCCTGTGGGCCAGGCTATAGATACATTAGTGACCCAACCCAAGATCCCTGACCTATACACAAACTCTTAAATTCTCTATACACAACCTCTTATTAGCATATAGTCATGGTGAGTAAAATATGCCCCTTCACTACTCTACAGAATTCTTTAAATCCTATGTTTACTACTTTCATTTCTAAGTTAGATGAATACGAAACAAATCAATACAGTGCAAACCTTAGGTACATACTGGTCTAAATTGACTGGTATAATATTCTGCTTGAAGAAACTTTTGTAGGTCTTCAACATTGTTTAATGTTGCACTCATACCAATAATTTGAGTCGTTTCTAAAACACAAACAAACAAAAGCCAAAGTGTTAAGGAAAATATGTTATTTAATATATCATAAAGTAATTTTAGCAAGTCTTTTGTGCTCTGAATTCTTCCTGAGTGATTTGGGAAAGGGGTGGGAGAGGTAAGTAAGAAAAATACAAATAGCTGGGTGCCTGGCTCACATCTGTAATCTCAACACTTTCGGAGGCTGAGGTGGGAAGATCGCTTGAGGGCAGGACTTCAACACTAGCCTGGGCAACATAGTAAGACCTCATCTCTACAAAAAAATTAAAAATTACCTGGGCATGGTAGTGCACGCCTGTAGTCCCAGCTACTTAGGAGGCTGAGGTGGGAGGATCGCTTGAGCCCAGGAAGTCAAGGCTGCAGTGAGCCATGATTGTGTCACTGCACTGCAGCTTGGGCAACAGTGAGACCTGACCTCTTAAAAAAAGAAAACTACAAATATATTACCAGAGTATTAATCTGGCATTTGAAGAATGAAATTTTTCAGGTATCCTGAAAGTTACTACTTAGAAGTTTACAGAGTTTCAAACTTGGCAAGAACTAGGATATTAAGGCTTCTAAACAATAATAAATGAGTATAAATCTGCTTATAACTGTCTATCTGGATCCCCTTTACGAAGAGCTATGATATGTTCCACAGGTATGGCTATAGACAGATGTAGAGGTAGTAGGATAGAGGGCTAAATGCGTCTCGAACTCTTGGCCCATGAAAAGTCCTCTATGAGATCTTGCTATCAAGCTAACTTTTAATTTTATTTATTTATTTATTTTTTTGAGACAGAGTCTTGCTCTGTTGCCCAGGCTGGAGTGCAGTGGCATGATCTCGGCTCACTGCAACCTCCACCTCCTGGGTTCAAGCAGTTCTCCTTGCCCCAACCTCCCGAGTAGTTGGGACTATAGTTTTTGTTGATGTTGTTTTAAATAAAGGTGGAGTGAAGCTTATGAAGCCATATGACATCCTGGGCAATACAAAATGGCTGCTTTCTATAGACTTAACTATTGAATGAAAACCCAAATAGGCCTTCTTTGCAAATGTTTCTTCATTGCTCCTATGTCTTGAAATGATCATTCAAGAAACTCACTGAAAGAGGAATAAGTGGGAGTATCCTTCTCATTCCATAAGGATAGACTACAAAGCTGAAGAGGTGGGCATGGGGTCAAATCAAGAAAGGCTGTGCTAAGAAATTAGGGATTTATGCAGAAAGCAAAGGGGAGCTATTAAAGAATGGTAAACAGTAAAATAAACTAATTGGATTTGCATTTGGGAAAGATCATTCTTCTTGCGCTAAAGAAAGATGGATTTGGTGGATGAAGGGCAGTGGGTACACAGAAGAACTTGGTGATTTCTGTGGCAATCCAGGTAGAAAGGATGAGGTACTGAACTAAAGACTTAGTGGTAATGAGGGATAGGAGAGACAGAAGTAACAATATATTTATGAGGTAAACCAGATAGGATTTGGTTGCTGATAGAATATGTAGGACCCTGGCTTGGCTGGCTGGAGAGTGGTGGCTGAGAATTCAGGCTGAAGAACGGCTTTGAAGGAAATGAGTTTGGCTCAGACTAAGCCTTAGTTAGGCTTAGCTGTTCAGAGAATATTCAAATAGGGATGCCCTAAAATACAGGCTTGATGAAAGCAGGGACTATTTTATTCACTGCTGTATCCCTAGCACTTAAAATAGTGCCTAGCACACAGTAGGTGATCAATATTTTTTTGAATGAACAATTATAAAATGCTATAACCTGCTTAAATATTATTGCTGTTGAAATTTTTTAAATACTTTTTAAGATTTGACCTTTATAGTTAATTTTTCCATATATAAGGTAAATATTGCAATAGCATATCAATAGTAGGTTATGACATTTAGAATAAATTTTTCATAAACTTTAAAGACTACCTGATGCTGCAAAATAGCTCCTTAAACTGACCTATTTAAATGTATCGCTTTACAATATTATTATTATAATATTTATGTTATATGTATTATTATGGTGATGATGATGATGGCCACAGTAGCAGCAGCAAACCCTTACTGAATGCAGTGTGCTAAGCACTGCTGAATGCAATACATGTGTTAACTCACACTATCCTTACAACAATCCCATCAGGCTGGTACCATTATTATCCTTGTTTTACAGATAAAGAAACATAGAGGTTGAGGGATGTGCCTGGGCACACATAGCTAGTAAGTGGCGGATAATAATAGAGGACTTCTTCAAATACCAATTTCATTTACCTTCAAAATTCTATTCATTAGAAATTTTAAAACAAAGGCAAAAAGCTTAAGTATCTTGCTTTAGGTTACATACTGTAGCTAGTGATAGAATTAAGTATTTTATAAGTCTCTTGATTATAAATCAATTCATGACCTCATTTGAAAAAATACTTACTGCTAGTGTAGAGGATTTTTGCTAGGGTCATTTCCAGTGTAGCTCCACGGCTTCCTTCACCAATCATGTGCAACTTCGAGATTTTTTTTAAAAAGGACAGAGAAGTAAATCTTCATATAGTGCTCATATAAAACATGCATATATTCATATGAAATTTGTTTGTAAAGAGTTGCTTATAACTTTTAAGTATTTTGAATATAACAACTATAATACATGTATATTATTTCACTGGTATTTAGGTTAATGAGCTTTTGGTACAAAATCCTTATAAATCTGGGATTCATAAGTACTACTAAAAAAATTTTTTTTTTAAACGGAGTTTGGCTCTTGACCCCCAGGCTGGAGTGCAATGGCGTGATCCTAGCTCACTGCAACCTCCACCTCCTGGGTTACAGCGATTCTCCTGCCTCAGCCTCCCGAGTGGCTGGGATTACAGGCGCCCACCACCACGCCCGGCTAATTTTTGTATTTTTAGTAGAGACAGGGTTTCACCTGTTGGCCAGGCTGGTCTTGAACTCCTAACATCAAGTGATTCACCTGCCTCGGCCTCCCAAAGTGCTAGGATTACAGGCATGAGCCACCACGCCCAGCCAATAAAATTGTATACTACACACATACGTGTTCACACTTCAAGAAACACTTGACACAAAACCAAATTTAAGATTATCAAGCATAGAATGTCTTCACCTATATTGTCTATATTTTCAAATAAATTTATTTTTATAGAGGTACTAAGGTACTAAGTAGATCCACACAATAACCAGAATAATAAATATTTAGTATAATAAAAATATTGACAAATTACAAAAGTATTAACCAACCTCGTCTACAACAACCAGACCCAGACTGTCAATTCTTCCAGTTTCAATCAAGGAGTTCACCAAGCTATGTCCTTTTTCAATAGTGGCAATATAGAGTGATTTCTTTTCCCTTCTTTTAGTTGGAGGAAATCTTCCTTTGCTTCCAGCATATTCTTCAACAAAGAAACCGAGTTCTATACCAAAACTTGACAAACCTGAAATCTAGAATATTAGTTAAAATAAAGAAAAATTGGCCAGGCATTGTGGCCAATGCCTGTAATCCCAGTACCTTGGGAGGCTGAGGCGGGAAGATCACTTGAGCCCAGGAAGGTGAGACCAGCCTGGGCAACACAGTGAGACCTCATCTCTATAAAAAATAAAAAATTCGCTGGCTGTGGTGGCACAGGCCTGTAGTCTCAGCTACTTGGGAAGCTGAGGTGGGAGGACTGCCTGAGTCCAGAGAATTGAGGCTGCAGTAAGCCTTGGTCATGCCACTGCACTCCAGCCTGGGCGACAGAGCAAGACCCTGACTCAAAAATAAATAAATAAACAAAACCAAAAAACACAAGTAAAAAACCCCCCATTAGGTGCTCATGGGGTTCAAAAAAGCTAAAGTAGTGTTTAATACCCATCAACAGGAACAAGGTCACAGGCAAGACATACGTAAGAAATGCTGTAATGTCTCGATCTTTGCAAAATAAATGCAACTTCTAAAATACATGTGAAAATAAATTTCAACTGGCGCCTTTGATACCAAAAAGCATCAGGGGTGTGTTGGCTCATGCCTGTAATCTCAGCATTTTAGGAGGCTGAGGCAGGTGGATCACTTGAGGACAGGCGTTTGAGATCAGCCTGGCCAACATGGCGAGACATCATCTCTACCAAAAATAAAAAAATTAGCCGGGCGTGGTGGCGTGTGCTTGCGATTCTGGCTGCTGGGTGGGGTCGTGGGGCATGAGAATTACTTGAGTCTGGGAGGTGGGGGTTGCAGTGAGCTGAGATCATGCCACTGCACTCCAGCCTGGGTGATAGAGCAAGACTGTCTCAAAAAAAAAAAAAAAAGCATCAGAATAACTCATTTTAGTAATAGTTTCTGCTTGAAAAAGCAAGGTAAGGCCGGGCACAGTGGCTCACACCTGTAATCCCAGCACTTTGGGGGGCCGAGGTGGGAGGATCACTTTAGGTCAGAAGTTCGAGACCAGCCTGTCCAACATGATGAAAACCCATCTCTACTAAAAATACAAAAATTAGCCAGGCATGGTGGCACACACCTGCAATCCTAGCTACTTGGGAAGCTGAGGCAGGAGAATCACTTGAACCCAAGAGGCGGAGGTTGCAGTGAGCAGAGATTGTGCCACTGCACTCCAGCCTGGGCGACAGAGGGAGACTACATCTCAAAAAAGAAAAAGCAGGGTAAATAGTAATAGAACATTTAAGATGATGTTTAATCCACCAGTTTAGAAAAAGTAAAACTTTCAACAACTGGTAATTAGTATTTGAAGATATTTTAGGTAGTGTATACTGCTTTTATACATTCTAAAAATATTAATTCTCCATCATTAAGAGGTACTTCTCACCAGGCGCAGTGGCTCATGCCTGTAATACCAGCACTTTGGGAGGCTGAGGCGGGTGGATCACTGGAGATCAGGAGTTTGAGACCAGCCTGGCCAATATGGTGAAACCCCGCCTCTACTAAAAACACAAAAATTGGCTGGGTATGGTGGCATGGGCCTGTAATCCCAGCTACTCAGGAGGCTGAGGCAGGAGAATCGCTTGAACCTGGGAGGCGGAGGTTGCAGTGAGCCAAGATGGTGCCACTGCACTCCAACCTGGGTGACAGAGCAAGACTCCATCTCAAAAAAAAAAAAAAAGAGGTACTTCTCAACAATACAAAGTTATCACATTTACAGATCTTAACGTCAAAGTACTAGCAAATAACATTTGTTTTAAAACATACACACACACACACCTTTTCTTGGACAATTGCCACATATGGAAGAATCATTAAAACATCTTTCCGACAGCAAAGCAGTTCTTGCAGCATTAAAATCTCAGCCACGAGGGTTTTTCCACCACTTGTTGGCAAGGAATATATTAAATTTTTTCTTTCTTGCACAGAATTCAATGTTAAACAAGTATGTTGCCATTCTGTGGAATTAAAAAAAAAAAGGCATTATTTTCCCCTTCCAAACTTTGAAACTCAAAAGTTTTCTAAGAAAAAAAATCAAATCCCTTCCTGTGGAGCAATCCTCTCATAAGGATAAATTTAATTATAACCAATGTTACATGTCAAAAATCCCAAATGTGCAAGTAGTACAGCCAGTGAGAGCCTAGTTCAGGCCTAGGCAGCAAGGTGGGCAACCAGCCCATTTATTCACCAGCTGCAGACTTGGGTCCAATATTACAGCAGGGCAGGTAGCAGCCTCGTGGACAAGGAGTGCCATCTGAGATATCAGAGGAACAAAGGGACAGTACAAGGACCTGTGTGAATTCGAATGTCTTCCTCTTATGTTCTGCAAGGAGATTATATAAGCTTCCCTTCCTCATTCAGCCAAAAGCCATCTCAGAGAGAAGCAGGGGAAGGAGGGAAACAAATCTATTAGGTTTTACACAAACTAATAAAAACTTTAACTAGCTCTCATGGAGACCTGAACTTCGAATGGGTCCAAAACCATTTTAAACTGTTAAAACTCTTTAAACCACAAAAGACTAGGATTATTAACTGACACGCCTAGGATTCCCACAATTTGGCAAGGCGGGATTCATGAAAATAGATCAGATCCAAGATACCGTGTGAAAACTAGTATTAATTACTCTGTAGGATAATCTGACAATAAAAATCATCAGAAGTCTTTAAAAATGTGCTTCAGTGTTTTATCACTAGAAAAATGGGCAAAAAATTTAAGACATTTCACAGCAGACGGCAAATGGCCAATAAATACATGGCCAATAAGCAGCAGAAATGCAAATGGCCAATAAATACATGAGAAGATGCTCAGCTGTTCTCTACTGGGTTGGCAAAATAAATTTTTAAAATAAAAAACAAATAACTATCAAAAAAAAAAAAAGCCCCACACATGCAAAATCCAGAGCTGACTAATGTGGGGAAAAACAGCCATTTTCATGTACGGTTGTGAGAACATAAACTGCTAGAATCCTTGTGGAAAGTAACCTAGTATAAAATAGAACTGCACATTGCCTTTGATCTGGTAGTATTACTTTTGGGATTCTACATCTATAGAACGGAAGCCAAAGCATATAAAACACAGCATTGTTTGTAGGTAACAAAGTGCCATGGTGGTGGGGGTAAAGGCCGAATGAATTATTGTACAATCAACCAATGAGATTCTTTGCAGTTTAAAAATGAAGAATAGATGGATCTATGTATGTTCAATATACAGTTAAGTTTAAAAAAAAAAAAAAAAAAAAAAAAAAAAAAAAGCAGATCATTGCCCCGGAGTGGTGGATCATGTCTGTAATCCCAGCACTTTGGGAGCCTAAGGCAAGAGGATCACTTGAGACCAGGATTTCAAGATGAGCCCATCTCTATTAAAAAAAAAAAAGAAAGTTATATCTGAATGACAGTTACAAGTAACTTTAACTTATTGTGCTTTTGGGTGATTCCCAAATACTACAAGTGACTGTGAATATTTTCTTTAAAAATATTTCAAAAATACTTAAATTTAATATTCAATAAATATTGAAAAATACTTCAGATTGGTATCACCCGAGTTATCAAATTAGATGTTTATGCCAAAGTATAACTTAACCATAGCCACATTTTATCCAATTCAGATTTTTAAGCATAACATGACAAAATAACTAATATTTATGAATACAATCTTCACATCAAAAAAAAAAAAAAAAACTAGCCGGGTACAATGGCTCATATCTGTAATTCCAACCCTTTGGGAGGCTGAGACAGCAGGACTGCTTAAGCCCAGGAGTTCAGGACCAGCCTAGGCAACAAAATGAGACCCTATCTCTACAAAATATAAAAAAATTAGCTGGGTATGGTGGCGCATGCCTATAGTCCCCACGACTTGGGAGGCTGAAGTGGGAGGATTGCTTGAGCCTGGGAGGTTGACGCTGTAGTGAGCCACGATCACAGATTGCCAGGTCGTATTCCTAGAGGTTCTGACGCAGTAGGTCTAGGGAAGTGTCTGAGAACATGCACTTCAACAAATTTCCAGGTGATGTTGATGCTGCAGTCCAGGAACCACACTTGAGAACCACCGCTTTAGCTTAATAAAAAGTAGCACATGCATTTATGCTTTAATCTGGTCATGTTATTAAGCCAGATTTAGAGGTAAAAAGATTTAAAAAGTTGTTATTTACTGAAGTTCTTACTTAGAAGCTACCAATGTAATTACTGACAATCATTACCAACATCTAATTTGGCATGTCCTTAACACAGACTCTAACTTGCAAAAAAAAATTATCCCTTTTTATAGATGAGGAACTAGGCCCAAAGTGCTAAGGTTGCATTTTTAAGTGACAATCCCCAGCAGTTGAGAACCTACCAGAGTATACCAGGCACAGTGCTAGTTAAGAAAAAGATGAGTTAGGCCGGGCTCGGTGGCTCACGCCTGTAATCCCAGCACTTTGGGAGGCTGAGGCAGGCGGATCACAAGGTCAGGAGATCGAGACCATCCTGGCTAACACGGTGAAACCTTGTCTCTACTAAAAATACAAAAAAAAAATTAGCCGGGCGTGGTGGCGGGCGCCTGTAGTCCCAGCTACTGGGGAGTCTGATGCAGGAAAATGGCGCGAACCCAGGAGGCGGAGCTTGCAGTGAGCTGAGATGCGCCACTGCACTCCAGCCTGGGCAACACGCGAGACTCCGTCTCAAAAAAAAACAAAAAAACAAAAACAAAAACAAAAAGATGAGTTAGATAGAGCCTTGTCCTCAGGATATTCATTCTGGCAGACTAAACAAAAAGCAAGGTGCTAGCAGAAAAACAGAGGGAAGAACAGAGGGAAGAAAGTTAACGTCTACTTCCAGGGCAACACACACCATTAGCTCTTAAGTCATGAACCTCACAATTTGGATTCTTGTAGAGTCTTTTATTAGACTTTGTTTCCTGTAGTTCTGCTTCTCCAACCTGATTGTCTTCTCTGCAAGAACCCAAGTTTTCATATCATTCATAAGATCCTAACAGGAGTTCCAGAAAACTTACGAAGTGGAAGGTTGATGGGGCTGACCCTCCAGTATGGCAGCAACTGTCCCTTCTTGGTCTAAAATGACACATATCTGAAATATATGCAAGGACCCTGGATTTTTGAAAAACATTACAAGATACCTTCTTAATATTATTGCTTCTTTGCACTTAAAACAAGTTTGTCCAACCCACGGCCCTCATGAGGCCCAGAATGGCTTTGAATGTGGCCCAACACAAATTTGTAAACTTTCTTAAAACATTATGAGATTTTTTTTTTTGCAATTTTTTTTCTTGGCTCATCAGCTATCGTGTTACTGTATTTTATTGTGGCTCAAGACAATACTTTTTCCAAAGTGGCCCAAGGAAGCCAAAAGATTGGACATCCCTGACTTAAAACTTAATTGCAGCTGTCTTTAAAGATGTCTAGCTTTGGGAAAGGCAGCACAAGGCAGAGCATCTGGGTGGTGGCAGGGATGCACCCGTGGGGAGAGGTAGCTGCGGCTGCTGGTGTGGGGGGAAAGATGTTTGGTTTAATCAACAGTATTACTAATAACTGACTTCTTTCACTCAAGACATGTGAGTGTCAAAGACATACCACAACAGCTAGGTTTTGGTAGAGAAGACAGAGCCAGCCAAGGAAATACAACTAAGAAAGCTGAGGATCTCTACTAGACAATCGGGGTCAAAAAACAGGAGTGGTTGTAAGGACATCCAGAAACAAGAATTTCAAGAAGGGTGTAGTCAATAGCATCAGGTAAGTTATTGAGAAGTCAGGTAAGGTAAACATTAAAAGTAACACTGTGTTTAGACGTCTCAGTCATCAGATCTTAAGTGAGAGAATGAGAGCACAGAACCCAGAATTAGAGTGGGGTAATTTACTAAAGTTCTTACTTAGAAGCTACCAATATAATTATTGAAAATCATTACCAACATTGAATTTGGCATGTCTTTGAACCAGAATCTGACTTGCTAACAACTTATTATCCCTTTCTTATAGATGAGGAATTAGAGGAATTATGTCAGGTAAGGAAACAGACAGAAAGGATAACTGGTTTGATAAGTGTGACTGTGAGGGAAGGAAAGAGGTTCAGTGGTAGCAGGACAGGTAGGAATGGAAGGGGCTGAGAGATCACTGATCTTTTGTTTTCAAAATGAGAAACAGTATGGACCATGAAAGCATTTGCTTCTATTTACTTGCACTAATATTATGGTAATGATAGGAAAAAAATTTTTTTATTCCAGCAAAAAGCATTACCATATAATTTTTCAATTCCCTTGAATTGGGCATAAAGGTCTCTCACTTTGCTGGGTAATGAATAAAAAGGACCAAGGTCATTTGATGATGACTCAACTGTTTTCTTAGCAACATTAATTTCCTCAGATAGGAGAGTGTCTTTGAGCTGTTTACTTCTAGAAAATATTGGTGTCTGGGCCTTCGCATTTCCAGTCATGGCATTTTTTAGATGATCTTTAATACTTTTTCTCCTGTTCATATCTGAACTAGTTCTGACTTTGGAAGAGGACTCATCATTTTGCTGGGGTTGCTCTATGCAATTATGGGGCAGTTCCTCATTCACAGTGTTGTGAGAGGATGACTTCCAATCCCTTTCTTTCATAGAATGATCACCCAAATCATTTGAAGAGTTCTGCAAATTTTCAAAGTATATAGCCTGTGAGGAAGGTACATCATACAAAAGATCAGCTCCAGGTTCAATAGTGACACCTTCATATCCACTCTGGTTCTCTGTGTGCTTATCAGTTTGTAATTCAGTAAGGTTGCCTATGGTAGTAATGCTGAGTTTGTTTTTGATACTTTCCGAGCAAAGATTTTCAGTGGCAAAGTCTGTAGCATGTTTCTTATGTTCAGGGAGTTGCATATATTTTTGTTCCAGGTCGTCAACTTGAGCTATAAAGGAGTTTTCAGTAAAGCTATCATAGTCACCAAACATGTCCACTTCACTGTCATTAGGCTGCAAAGAGAACAAAAACGCTTATGGTCAATTCCAGTTTCATTAAGAATAAAAGCTTCACCAGCCTGGCCAACATGGTCAAACCCCGTGTCTACAGAAAATACAAAAATTAGCCGGGCATAGTGGCATGCTCCTGTAATCCCAGCTACTCGGAGGCTCAGGCAGGAGAATTGCTTGAACCTGGGAAGCGCAGGTTGCGGTAAGCCCAGATCGCGCCATTGCACTCCAACCTGGGCAACAGAGTGGGACTCTGTCTCAAAAAAACCAAAACAAACAAACAAACAAAACCCCCAAAAAACACTTCAGCCTAGGGCTGTACCAAGTATATAATTATATGGTCACATATGGATCACAGACCTATATGTAAATAGATATCTTACAGCTGAAGAAATGGAGGCCCAAAGAGGTTAAATTACTTGCCTAAACAGCAGGTTCAGGAGTGTTACGATGATACTGAGATTCTAATTTTTGAGACAGGGTCTGGCTCTGTCACCCAGGCTGGAGCACAGTGGCTCCAGCCACTGCACGATCACAGCTCACTGCAGTCTTGACATCCTGGGCTCAAGCGATCCTCCTGCCTCAGCCTCCCAAGTAGCTAGGACTACAGGTGCAGGCCACCACACCCGGCTAATTAAGAAAAAAAAATTTTTTTTTTTTTTTGTAGAGACTGGGTCTCTGTTGCCTAGGCTGGTTTTGAACGCGAACTTCTGGGCTTAAGTGATCCTCCCATCTCTGCCTCCTAAAGCACTGGGATTATAGGCATGAGCCACTGCACACGGCCAGATTGTAATTCTTAAAGCTGTACTAAAACAGCAGGAAGACTGGTAGACGTCTACTGAAATGTCAGCGCATTCGAAGTTTCTGATAACTGCAGCGCTTCCCTCCCAGACTACAATCTACAGTGACTGGCCTCTAACAGAAACATGGTTGTACCACTAGACACTCCAAGGAGTTCCTAGGAATTTGGAATTGAGACTGAGAAACTGAATACTGACTTGGAGTGGTCTGCTACACAGAAGACACACAAACCTGGAGGCAGCAATATAGTAAAGTGATTAAGACAACAGGATTTGGAGCAAGAACTGTACTATCTCAACTTTTCAGGGCCTGATTACTGTCGTAAAATCTAGATAATATAACTAGCTTAACATAACGGGTCTTCAATAAACAGCAGATTTTATTTGTACAGTAGGAGCTGCAGTTATCTGGAAGCCTAGATTTGTGTCTCAGTCATGCCACTTAACTGCTGCGTGCACAACTTTTATGTCTCGGGGTTTACATTTCATATTTATATAGAAATGTAAATAACAAGGCAATCAATACCTCCTAAGTGCCGATTAACAGTGGTAACGAAGACGAGAGAAGTAAACGAAGGCGATAAAACTGGTCAACTCTTTGCATCTGGGAAGGATGCCAAAAGTTTGCAGTTTCAAGTTCCAAGTCCTCCGTACCTGGTCTCCCACCCCTCTGTCAGTGGGCATGTGACGTAGGAGGTCCGGGTTTGTATCACCACCTCCAAGGACGAGACATTCCGGGGAATCTGAGAGTAGAAGGGGCTGTACCTCAACCGGCAGTACGCCCGCGGTTTTCCGCCTCCTGTTCTCAGCCACCATTTCCTCCTCCTCTTTCCCCTCATCTCCGGGCACGAGCTCGGCCGCGGTGGGAGCGCCAAAAATACACCCCAAGCTTGGACGGTTCCTTTTGGGGAGAGACACCCGCCGGCGGATGCGGGAACCACATTCATCCATGGCAAGGACCCAGGGCCCTATTCAGACGTCGTTCTCAGTGACCCAGACGCTAAGCCCATATGGAAGGGAGAGTGGGACGCCGGAGCCCGCTTCTACATCCACCTTGGGAAAAGACCCCAAGTTAGCTCTCAGGGCTCGCGGACCGGAAGCACGCATAAACTTCTACCCTGTCCAATCATAAGCCTCACGTGACCTGCCGCGTAGGGAGGGCACGAACAGAAAGGTGCTGCGCATGCGTATTGAAAAACCTCACCTACTCTCGCGGGTCCTCAGCGTTCTCCTGCGGAACCTTTGAACGGGGTACTCGAGCCCACAGGGGAAGAGCAGCGGAAGGGGCCTTTCGGAACGATTTGGAACGAAAGGAAGTGGAAGAAACGCGGAACCATGGCCGCTGTGGTTGCTGTTTGCGGTGGTCTAGGGAGGAAGAAGTTGACACACTTGGTAACGGCTGCTGTCAGCCTTACACATCCCGGGACTCACACGGGTAAAGTCTCCATATCCTATGCTCCATTGTAGCGCTGCAGGCATTAACCTTAGTCCTAATGGTTAGAGTCGTCCCTGTTAGCAAAACGACTCTGGTTTCTAGGCGATTAAGTTTCTCCAAGATGGGTGGGAATCTGTAATTGCCTTTGACTGTTTTAGTGTCGTCTAATCCACTCCTTTAAAGTATTTAAACGTATGAGGAAGTTGGAGTGGTTCTTAAAAAGCAGAGACTTTCCTAAGATCTCTGGATAATCTTAGTGAGGAAGGGACATTTCCAGAGTCGCCCAGCAGCAAATTCCAGATGTCTAAGGTCCCCAAACAGAACAAAATTGCATAATTTTTGCAATTTTATCTTCTCTGTGCTTCTCTATAAATTCTTTCTGGGACGGGTCTGTTACTTTCTTTTTGGTATGACAGTGCCTTTCTGTTGCTTCTCCTATAAGAATTTGCATTAAGAATTTTCTCTAACCATGGAATGAAGGGAAAATAAATGTCAGAAAGAGCAGGTATGGGCGGGAAAATATGTTCTTTTCCCCCTAAGCCCTGGAAAGCACACCCATGTTGAGTCTTACTCTGTCCCAAATATAAAAGTTTTTAACCATTCTGAATATAATACAAAACCTTTCTTTAATATCGTGTCCCTTAATTCATCCTGTCTCCATAAAAACAAAAATCTTTAGCTATTCAGCTAAGAAAAAGAAATGGTTAATTGCTGTTTCTGTTTAATCGCAGTGCTTTGGAGAAGAGGTTGTTCACAACAGGTATCCAGCAATGAGGACCTGGTAAGAATTTTTTTTTCTATTAGTAAGGCCTTTGCAAATATGACCAAAATGTTTTTCTTTTTAAAACGAGATCTGGTATTAGACTCTAACATCTTTTATTTTAGCTACTTGAATAGAGTTCTGCCGTAGGACAAAACAATTTGATAATTACTCTGAGTTCAGAAATGATGATGAATTGATTGTAGTCATGTAGTCAGCTGAGTTTTGAAGTAGGGGAATTCCTAGATTAGAAGCAAAGCTGCTATAATACCATATTTTTCTTCCTAGATCTTAAATTTAAGGATATGTGATTTGGGAATTGTTTTTTTTTTTTTTACATAGCCCTTTGTAAGCAAATGATATGGGAATTTTAAAAGGTAGTTTGGGTGAGCAGAATTTTAGATAACTGAAAAGAGACTGTACAAAGCTTAGCTATAGGTTGGCTATAGTATTAACATGGACTTTCTGAAAGCACAGGTTCTTGCTACATGCAAAGGTATTTTGACACTAATTAGACCATACAAAGCACTTGGCACAGAGCTGAAGAGTAGTTACGTGAGCTGAATGTAAATTGGAAAGTTTGAGGAATTGGAAAAAACAAAAGAACTTGTCTAGTTTCTCTGAGCATCTGTCTTGGTAATCTAATCCATGCACCATACTTTAAGAAAGTAAAGGGACATTATTTCTTTTTTAGTTCATAAATCCCACTTTGTCTCTAATCAAAGTTATGGACCCTCTCCACAGAAAAAGGCACACAGTCCCATTCATTTGAAGTTTTGCATACGATTACAGGGAGTCATGGGCTTCAAAGCCATTTCTAGATTAAGAACCTCTATCCTGGAGACAGCCATACTGACTGTAGGAAGGAGGCACTGTGACAAAAGCATTAGAGGCAGTGGTGGTAACAGAAAAGCCAAAAAGACTGATACAAACTTATATAGTAGCCTGGGGTGATAAAGTCAAAGAACCTTTTATTACAGTAAGTCATGGGCCATTATCTGTGTATAAAAATAGTGATAAAATACTTGATAGAGACATGGGGATGGATAAATTAGGGATTGTACTCATTTAAGAATGGCATATGTTATCTATTGTGTTGTAAGTTTCCTTAAATCTAAAAATTTTTTCATTATCTACAATCTGAGCAAAGCATTGGAACACTTTCTTATCAGACATCATTTTTGTTCTGCCATAAAATTTTATTCTATGAAGATTGTACTTTATTCCAGAATCTTCCCATGCGTTAATCCGTAGGCTAAACTAAAACAAAATAAAGTGCTTATACAAAATATGTACACAGTAAGAAAGGTATAACTAATCCTTTGAATGGATTTGAATGTAGAATAGTAACCTTTTAAAATTCAGAATTAACACATCCTATTATCAGACTTTTCGTTTTTTTCCCTAGCCCATTTCAATGGAAAATCCTTATAAAGAACCTCTTAAGAAATGTATCTTGTGTGGAAAGCATGTAGATTATAAGAATGTACAGGTGAGATCTGGTTTTACTTCACTATATTTTAGGGTTTTGCTTCTGATAGATCTGCTTAAAGAGAATCAAGTCAGTTTATAGCAGGCTTTTGTAGAGGTAACTGTTTTAGCAACTTCATAATTTCAAATTTGGTTATAATTCTATGTATAAGCTTATCTCTGCTTTATTCAAGTAAAAGCACCTTGGCTTTCCCCCACTTACTGTTATTTCCACTCTGTTTTTTTCACTACCCCAAACATCTTAATAGCTCCCTGTGGCAGTAATTCTCAATTGGTGAGGGTCAGAACTTTGGAAAAAGCTCATCTGGTGAAGCTGATCTCTTTATCTCACCACCCATATCACTGATTCACATATTACTTATCTCTTGTCTAACTCTCAGCAAGTTAGAAGTTGCAAATTTGGGGCAAGTGAATAGCGCTAGAATTCTGTATGTTGGCTGGGTGTGGTGGCTCACGCCTGTAATCCCAGCACTTTGGGAGGCCAAGGCGGGCGGATCACCTGAGGTCAGGAGTTTGAGACCAGCCTGGCCAATGTGGTGAAACCCCGTCTCTATTAAAAATACAAAAATTAGCTGAGTGTGGTGGTGCATGCCTGTAATCCCAGCTACTTGGGAGGCTGAGGCAGGAGATTTGCTTGAACCCAGGAGGCGGAAGTTGCAGTGAGCTGAGATCGTGCCATTGCACTCCAGCCTGGGTGACAAGAGTAAAACTCTGTCAAAAAAAAAAAAAAAAAAAAAAAAGAATTCCATATATTGACAATAGTATAAAGTGATAGCTGCCTTTGAGGAAGAACCAAGAATTACAAAAACACACATACTAGGAAGATTATGCAAAGTGCCAAGAATAATGACTAGCACCTAGAAAGGTTCTAAAGAAGTATTTAAATAAAACATAAATTATAGCAAATGCCTGGTGTACTTGTACCTCTTGAAAATCTCATTACCCCCTGATAATTTATCTTAATGATTATCAGAGGGTAATGTGATAGCTTGTCAGGATAGATGAAATTTTTTAGTAGCTTGTTTCAAGCAATATTTTAGAAAGGTATCTGTGGAAGTCAAGAAAACAGATTTACCATTGAATGAATATGCTGATTAATCTGCTGTTTAATTATATATAGACTTGACACACTGGATAGAAAATATTTAAAAGGTAACAGGAGGATAACAATATTTTTTTCTTATATTTTATGAAATGTGTCTGAAATTTAGTAAAGCTTTATATAACCTGAAGGTTGTTTTTTGAAATTTACACATTCAGAAATAAATAACAGATACTTTTTTTTCCCCTCCACATAAAACTCCAAAACAGCTTTTGTCCCAGTTTGTTTCTCCATTTACTGGATGCATTTATGGAAGGCACATTACAGGTATGTTCTTTTTTATTATGGGAATATAAATGTAGATACGAATTATATCAATCTATTTCTATCATTTAAGAAAACTCAAATTTTCAAATTGTGCTATAAATTACTACTAGATCAGATACTACAGGGACTAGAGCTAGTTACTATGAAAAAGTCTCTTAGGCCAAGAGGATTATTATTTTGCTGTCTTATGCAGAGTTAACTATATAGAAAAACTGGGCTTTAAAAAACTGTTGTTGATGTTTTGGAATATACTATAATCATTCCTAGATTGATACTTAAACTTGGTGTCAGCAAACTATGGCCCATAGGCCAAATTCGACCTGCTCCCTTTTTATCTTGATTAGGTTCATCATATACAAATGCCACTTTTTTTTTTTTTTGAGATGGAATCTCACTGTCACCCAGGCTGGAGTGCTGTGGCACAATCTCGGCTCACTGCAACCTCTGCCTCCTGGGTTCAAGTGATTCTCATGCTTCAGCCTCCCGAATAGCTGGGATTACAGGCATGCACCACCACGCCTGGCTAATTTTTGTATTTTTAGAGATTGGGTTTCTCCATGTTGGCCAGGCTGGTCTTGAATTCCTGACCTCAGGTGATCCACCTGCCTAGGCCTCCCAAAGTGCTGGGATTACAGGTGTGAGCCACTGCACCCAACCCCACTTGTTTTTGTAGTTTTGTTTACGTAGTGCCATATGGTTGTTTTCGAGCTACAACAGCAGAGTTGAGTGGCAGTGATGGAGACTGTATGGCCCACAAAACCTAGATTATTATTGTGGCCCTTGACAAAAATGATTTACCAATCCTTGACTTAAAAACTTGTTGAGGCTGGGCATGTTGGCTCACACCTGTAATCCCAGCACTTTGGGAGGCTGAGGTGGGCAGATCACCTGAGGCCAGGAGTTCAGGACCAGCCTGGCCAATATGGTGAAACCCCGTTTCTACTACAAATACAAAAAAATTATCCGGGTGTGGCGGTGCATGCCTGTAATTCCAGTTACTAAGGAGGCTGAGGCAAGATAATCGATTGAGCCTGGGTGGCGGAGGTTGCAGTGAGGCGAGAGAGCACCACTGTACTCCAGCCTGGGTGACACAGGGAGACTCCATCTCAAAAAAAAAAATTGCAAACTTTAAATATTGACATTTTTTATGAATAAGAAAGCTTTTTATTTTACAGGTCTTTGTGGGAAGAAACAGAAAGAAATCACAAAAGCAATTAAGAGAGCTCAAATAATGGGTAAGAAAGAATACCTCAACAACTGAATTGAGCTAGCTGAAATTTTGCTCATTATGTTTTGTCAAGAACTTTAATTATCTCTTTACAGGGTTTATGCCAGTTACATACAAGGATCCTGCATATCTCAAGGACCCTAAAGTTTGTAACATCAGATATCGGGAATAAATTCTATCACGTTACCACTAATAAACTTATTTTACAGTAAGTGGTTGTATGATGCCAATACTGACTCAAACCAACCTTTGGATAGAAAAGTGTTTGAGGAGTGAGGTAAAGAATGACACTTCCCCTTCATACCAATGTCCATTAAGCAGATTGCTTATTTAAAATGTTAACACTCATCACATTTTATCTATGTTGAATAAAAGTGGTTCTGTGTGATTGTCATTTATATCTGATCCCCAAATAGCTCATACAATAATCCATTCAATAGAATGGAATTAAAACTGTTCAGAATGATTTTCCAACTAGCAAATATAAGTATGCCTGGTTAAGATATCTTCCCTTTGTAGAAATGTTACATTGGGATGGATAGTGGTGCTGTCACAGAAGGACAAAATATTCCTAGACGAGTCTACCCTCAAACCAGTAGTGTCTTTTACATGAAGAGATGATTTACACCTAATAGACATTGAATATGATAGACATACATGTATATATGTATCAGTTCTGAGTTCCACTGGCCTATCCCAAATACACTGGATTACCAGGCTTGTACTGTATTCAAAATGATAGATTTGCTAAATTTCATGCAAAGGACTCTAAACTAGGGGAGAGATTACTGTTTGTGTTGTGTTATAGTTGTGTAATAATTAAGGCTGCCAGATTTAGCAAGTACAAATGTAGGACAAATTTAAATTTTAGATGATGTTTTGCAAATTTATTGCATGATATCCAGCATTTTATCTGGCAACTCTAGCCATAATGTACTTCTAAAAAAGTATCACTTAAGGAGAATTTTAATGACTCAGATAAATTTTCATATAAATTTCTTTCCATATTTTGAAAATAAGGCTATTCTTGCTTTTCCATTTTATTTTTTAATAGACATGGTCTCAATACGTTGCCCAGGCTGGTCTCTAACTCCTAACTTCAATCAATCCTCCTGACTTGTCTTCCCTAAGTGCTGGGATTACAGGTGTGAGCCACTGTGCCTGGTCTCACTTTTCCAATTCTAAAGAATGTGTCTGTGTAAGCCTTCCCCTCAACAACTTAGTGAAAGGTGAAAAAAAGGTTTGGAAATAAAAGCATCTGATGTTTGAAAAAGTACTTTGTGAAGTAAATGCACTAAGAGTTATCTGTGTATTACTGCAAACAGGTGAACATAGTAAAAACAAATGAACTTACTGCAAGTAGCTCAACATAGTAAAAACAATAGAAATGTTTGGCTTTACCCATCAGCCAAATAAAAAAATCTCCTTGTAAGGTTAAAAGGATCAAAATGTAGGAGACCGTGAATATTCACCAAAACCCTTCATCTTTTCAATTTCTTCATCTGTTTCTGGGCTGCTCATTTTGGATGCTTTATCTTGGTTACTACTACCAGTATCTGCTTTAGATCGTTTGTCTTGTGTATCTAACAACCGAGATCTCTTGAATTGCCATCTGTCATCTAAGTCTAAGGCTTTATGCTTAATGATTTGTGGTGTACTAGCTGGACTAGCTTCAGGAATGTCAGTGTGTTCTACCATTAAGGTCAGATTGTCTACTACATCGAGATGGTGGTTGTAGTTACAGCTACTTTTAGAAACATGTCTATTTTTTAAAGACATAACACATGAATGAAGAAATTCAGAATTTGGAAAAAAGGTCCGTAATGCCTGACAAAGAAAAATGTTCTCCTGAGGGTCTTTTTGGATGTTCTTCTCTCCTAAACAAAATAGAATAACAGTTCAACATATAACATTTCTTCTACAAAGCTTTTATAATTAACTATTTGTAAGTAAAATTAAGTCAAAAAGATTTTAACAGTTGTATTATCTAAAGTGAGGATAACATACATAATTCTGAATTCTAATTTATATGCCACAGTATTCTAAGACAAAATTAAAGTTGTGTTCTTTCATGTCAGCAATATAGCTACCATAGTATTATGTTCTTTAAAAGCACAGAAAGGGCCGAGCGCAGTGGCTCACACCTATAATCCCAGCACTTTGGGAGGCTGAGGCGGGTGGATCACTTGAGGTCAGAAGTTCAAGACCAGCCTGGCCAACATGGTGAAACCCTGTCTCTATTAAAAATACAAAAAAAATTAGCCAGGCATGGTGGCAGGCACCTGGAATCCCAGCGTTTCAGGAGGCTGAGGCAGGAGAATCGCTTGACCCCAGGAGGCAGAGGTTGCAGTAAGCTGAGATCACACCTTTGCACTCCAACCTAGGCGACAGAGCGAGACTCCGTCTCAAAAATAAATAAATAAATAAAAATTTTTAGCACAGAAAGTAGAGATGTGTTGTTTACTTACTTGCTGCCTGAATCTGTGCTCCTCTCCTTTTCTCAATTTCTCGTTTTAATCTGTTTACATCCTTTACTAGTTTATCTACTGCTTGTTCACTGTCTTCCACTTTTTTGCATATACTCTGCAAAATAAAGTAATTTAAGGGCATAGGTAATATTTCAAGCTGTGTACTAATACAGTCTAGATTCACAAATAATATAAAATCATTGGTGGTATATAATACCCAAAACTATTTGCCTTTTATATAAATTTTATTTATTTTCTGGAGGATGTCAGTAACAAGCACTTGTAGGTTATAAATAAGCCTTATAGGTTGTAAAATGCTTTTTCACATGTAACTTCTCATTTATACAGCTTTTATCATGCCAGTTAGTTCGCTGAAAATATACAGAAATAAACTGAAATATTAACTCATGGGCCAGCTGCGGTGGCTCACGCCTGTAATCCCAGCACTTTGGGAGGCTGAGGTGGGTAGACTACCTGAGCTCAGGAGTTCGAGACCAGCCTGGGCAACATGGTGAAACCCTGTCTCTACTAAAAATATAAAAAATTATCCAGGTGTGGTGATGCATGCCTGTAGTCCCAGCTACTCAGGAGACTGAGGCAGGTGAATCGCTTGAACCCAGGAAGCAGAGGTTGCAGTGAGCCAAAATTGCACCACTGCACTCCAGCCTGGGCGACAGAGTGAGACCCTGTCTCAAACAAAAACAAACAAAAAAACTTTGAAACAAAAAAAATACAGATGCAGAGTTACTGCATAAATTTAACACTAAGAAACTCACAGTAAGTGAAACAAAGTGACTATCTTACTATTACGAAAGGATACTATTGAAGATTTTTTCCTGTAAGAGAAACTACTTTTGAAAAGCAGATCACTTCTGTGTGTCTTTAGTTTTAAAAGTATGAATACCAGTAACTTTTGATGCCATAATTCCATTTGGGAATATATCTGAATAACAACAAAAATATAAGATGATGTTTCTTAGTATAACATAAAACAACTGGGGGAGGGGAGAACAACTAATTAGTAAAAAAAGCAACTAATTTCCAACTGTAGGGTAATAGTTGTTTTGCCAGTTTTAGTGGACACTTTTTAGGATGTCTGCCAAGCCTACTTTTTACAAACTTTTTTTGCCCTGACATAAGAGTTTGCCAGTTACCCCTGTACCCACCTTTCACCAGAGCTGACCCAAACAGAACCAATGAGATTCTTGCCTGGCAATCTGGAGGTATTACATAGCCAATTGGCAGATCTTATGCTCTAGAAGAGATCTAAATGCAGGAGCTGTGGGTTGGCTGTTTTCTGGCCTGCCAGTGGATGAAGAAACAAAAAGGTCTGGAAGGATAGCAATGTGCAGACACAGAAAGTTCTATGGCATTCTAGCTCCTGGTTCCAATTCCTTCCTAAAGTTCAGCTGCTTTCTGCCTACAGTTCTTATGATATACCTCTACATTCCCTATTTTAGCCCAAGTTGGTATTTTTCCATAACATTCTCTATGAAATATACTGCCATTAAAAATAAAGAGGCCGGGCAAGGTGGCTCACACCTGTGATCCCAGCACTTTGGGAGGCTGAGGCAGGTAGATAACCTGAGGTCTTGGGTTCGAGACCAACCTGGCCAACATGGCGAAACCCTGTCTCTACTTAAAATACAAAAATTAGCCTGGCGTAGTGGTGGGTGCGTGTAATCTCAGCTACTTGGGAGGCTGAGACAAGAGAATCTCTTGAACCAGGGAGGCGGAGGTTACAGTGAGCCAAGATCATGCCATTCATTGCACTCCAGTCCAGGCGACACACTGAGACTCTGTCTCAAAAAAAAAAAAAAAAAAAAGAAGAAACTAAAAACAACTAAAGAATATGTAGCAACAGAAACAATGTTTTATGTACCAAGTTTTTTAAAAATCATGACAAATTTATGTCACCATGACTATTGACTATATCAAAGTATACATATATTAAGGAAAAACTGGAGCAAATGGCAGAGTGAAAATAGTTATGTTAAAATGGTGAGATTCCAGGCTGGATGTGGTGGCTCACACCTGTAATCCCAGTACTTTGGGAGGCCAAGGAAGGTGGATTGCTTGAGCGCAGGGGATGGAGACCAGCCTGGCAACATGGTGAAATCCTGTCTTTACACAAAATACAAAAAATTAGCTGGGTGTAGTGGTGCACACCTGTGGTTTCAGCTACTCTGGAGGCTGAAAGAGGAGGATCACTTGAGCCCAAGAGGTGGTGGTTGTAGTGAGCTGAGATCATGCCATTGCTCTCCAGCCTGGGTAACAGAGCAAGACACTGTCTCTAAAAAATAAGATGGTGAGATTCTGGATGTTTTTACCATCTAAAATTCCCGTTTCATATGAAAAAGTAGTGTAATATGAATCAAAATATTTATTTTAACTGCTTTTCTGTTAGTGTGCTCTACTGATGAGTGTGGTGGCCATGGAAATATACTCCTTAGTAAGATCTCCAACTGGGGGAAGCATAGTTGACTTAACAGCCCCAGCTTTGGACCTACCACTGTGTTAAGCCACACTTCCCCTGGGCTGTTCCTAGCCAATGACTAAGCACACTGCAGGTATTAGTGCAAGTCCATGCCTATAGAACAATTTTCGGGCAACTTTGCTCAAAGACTCCCTATCAGCCTAGTGGAACGTTCTTAAAATGGCGCTGCAGTCTGAGACTCTTCCTAACCACTTGTCTTCTTATCCCCCTCTCCTTTCTCAGGGGTCAGACTTGCAGTGTTGTCTGAAGGCTCTTCCTGCCTGTTCTTTCTTCCTCTTCTTTATCCTTCTCAGGCCCAATAAATCTCCTGCACTTATAATCCCATCTTGACATCTAGTTCTAAAAGGACCTGAACTGACACATGAAGAAGAACTGACACATGAAGTAGAGGGAAGTATACTGTTCCCAAATATACTTCCCTCTATTCTGTAAGAAGGATTATATATCCCTGCCTATTACCATGTGATGTGTTCAGGCCAGTGAAATGTGAGTAGAAGTGACATGGCCGTTTTAAGCAAAGTTTTAAGAGCTGTTGTGAATTTCCACTAGTTTTTTTTTTTTTTGAGACGGAGTCTCGTTCTGTTGCCCAGGCTGGAGTGCAGTGGCACGATCTTGGCTCACTGCAAGCTCCATCTCCTGGGTTCACGCCATTCTCCTGCCTCAGCCACCCGAGTAGCTGGGACTACAGGCGCCCACCACCATGCCCGGCTAATTTTTTTTGTATTTTTAGTAGAGACGGGGTTTCACTGTGTTAGCCAGGATGGTCTCGATCTCCTGATCTCGTGATCCGCCCACCTCGGCCTCCCAAAGTGCTGGGATTACAGGCGTGAGCCACTGCGCCTGGC